>NC_000014.9:71732925-71884440 GCF_000001405.40 Homo sapiens
TATTAAACTGGGCGTGGTGGCTCACGCCTGTAATCCTAGCACTTTGGGAGGCTGAGGCAGGCGGATTACGAGGTCAGGAGTTCAAGACCAGCCTGGCCAACATAGTGAAACCCCGTCTCTACTAAAAATACAAAAATTAGCCGGGCATGGTGGCACATACCTTTAGTCCTAGCTACTTGGGAGGCTGAAGCAGGAGAATTGCTTGAACCCTGGAGGCAGAGGTTGCAATGAGCCGAGATCATGCCACTGCACTCCAGCCTGGGCTACAGAGTGAGAATATGTCTCAAAAAATAAAAAAATAAGCCCTATTGTCCCCTCTAGTAGGAAGAAACATCCCTGGTCTGGCTCCAAAATCCAGCTCCCTGTTGAAGTAGGCCTCTTCTTCCTGGCCCAAATCCCTTGACTCTGTGCAGGAAAGTAGATGCTAGTGCTGCCTAGGCCCTGCTGTGGACAGACAGCTCTCACAAAAGCAGACTTAGTGCCTCCATGCAAAACTAACTTTGCCATGACTCACTGCTGGAAGGGAGATGATGGGAGGTTGTGAAAAAATGAAGGCAGACTAGAGGAAGCCGATTCCTATTTCAAGTCAGCTTTAGAATAGCCACTAACAGCCTGCTAACCTGGACATTGATAACAGTCACAAATGGCTTACAATCTATTGTGGTAACAGGAAAGAGGTAAGTTTTGAGTGGCTCTTCCACAGGCACAAGAAGCATCTCATTCCTCCTCCCTTCCCGCAGGAGAGTTCTCAGCCTCGGACAGCTCCCTCACTGACATCCAGGAGACCCGCAGGCAGCCTATGCCCGACCCTGGCCTGATGCCCCTGCCTGACACTGCTGCAGACTTGGATTGGTCCAACCTGGTAGATGCTGCCAAAGCCTATGAGGGTGAGTCCACTGAATCCACACAAGACAGCCCAGGATCCTGCAGCGGAGTGAGCAGTCTCCATCCACTCTACTTCTCTGGACACACTCAAAACATATGTGCCTCACCAGATGAGCTATCAGTTACTGAGCATTCAGTAGGGACCAGACCCTAAGCTGGACACCTAGGCACATGTTTTATGTAATCAGATGCCACCTGGTGTTTCCTCCACAGGATTCATAACATGAATGCCTCGCCTCCTCCGTATATGGGAAGGGCAATGGGTAGAGGAATCCCAGCTGTCCCTTGACTAAAAAGAACATGTATCCAGAGAGGATCTTTCATCACGTCGCAAGACATTGTTGCTAAATGTCACAGTGCCTGCCCTGCTTGGCCACGCGCCTATCCTCACAAATGTGGGGCGCCCCCTTTGCCGTTCTCCCTCATCTCCGTGCGCGGTAGCGCGTTGTCTGTCTGCATTGTCTCCTTGCCAGCCTGCTGGCCGTGTGCTCGCTTTAGGCTGGCGGTTCTTAAATGCAGGTCCTCAGACTGGTGCTGATCTTGCCTGCTGTAATGAAAACACAAAAAGTAGTGCAGTATGTGTGTGTTGACATAAGATTGTCAGCTGGGGTTTTTGTTTTTTGAATGAAGACTGACTTTTTTCTAAGTTTAAAGATCTTTCTAAAATTTTTATTATTCTTTACAAACTTATAGCAGGTGATTTTTTTTTCTGTTTTTGTTGTTGTTGTTGCTCTTAATTAGGAGAATTGAAAATTGCTATTTAGTCAAGTTTTAATTTTGGGGAGAAATGTACTAGGCCACAGAATCTGTACGTCGGGCAACCATGGAATGGTCAGCAGTGAATCCTTTTACCTTCATGCTGTTTATTTAGCAGATGGAAATTCCCAGTTCTAACTTGATTTTTCAGTGTGTTGGTTAATCTCCTTCATATACAAATGGTAGAAGTTTTGGTTTCTAATGGGAGATTATTTTAAATTTGATTTAGTTTTCTTGGCTTAAATTTTAACTTGGTATGTTTTGGAATACAGGTGGTATGGATTTATGTTAAAGCCAACCAGAGTGTCCAGGAATCTTGTGGTGGAAAACATACTTCAAGAAGTTTTAAGCATAATGCTAGCTCTCGAACGCATTTATTTCATTGCTGAGTGGAAAGCCTTGGTCTGGAAATTTGGCACAAGGACTGTTTCCAGAGAAACATTTCATAGAATGCTACAGTGATGAGCAGGGAAGAGGGGGGACTAGAAATTGACTCACAAATGTTTCTTAAAGGGAAATTACATGGCTACAATCCTCTTATAGCTAAAACAGTCATATTTTTCCCTGTGAGGGTTGGGAAATAAGATTTCCAGTGCATCCTGCACTGGAAATACTAGACATGACTGCCAACTAGACCACTTGTTGACTTTGATAGATAGGGCCAGGGATGTGGTTCCAAAATACTAAATGGTTTCTTCTCTCCTTTCCAGTCCAGAGAGCCTCATTTTTTGCTGCTAGTGATGAAAACCATCGCCCCTTGAGTGCTGCATCCAACAGTGATCAGCTGGAGGACCAGGCTCTGGCCCAGATGAAGCCTTACAGCAGGTTGGTCCCAGTGCAAGGGCAGTACTCTGCACCTTGTGTCACATCTGCCACTGACTGCATCTGTGGGGAGAAGAGATGGAAGCCACACGGAGTAGCTGAGTGAAGCTGATCACTGCAGGGCTAGACACTTTACATTTTAGTCAGAACGCTTTGTAACTGAATACTGTAGACATAATTAAACTATTCTTGATGACTTATACGGCCATAATGATGAATATTCATTATTATTTAATGTCATAATACATTTATGCCCTCAGGGCCAGTTGGGGCAGGTAGGAGAGACCATTTGCTCTAAGTATTCCTGTGCTCTGTGCTGTGTAGTCCTGCAGTCTGGGTTTTCAGTCTCTTTCGCAGTGTTGCTGATGGTCATGCTTATACATGCGCTTGCTGAGTCCTAGTGGCTCCCAGTGTGCTGCTTCACGTCTGTGTGTTGGAAAGCTAAATCACCAGGATGGTTAAGATGGTATGAAGGTGAAAAGTAGGCAATAACTGAGGTCCTAAGGGCTTCTCAGTCAGGAGCAGGGACTTTACAACTTCTATTTATGCAGAGACCGACTTTTCTGTTTTCCCCTTAGTTTCAAAATGGTGAGGTTGCTAGATTTATGTGTGCTAATTTCTGTATGTTAAAGCATCCCATCAGTCAGGTATGGAACATTTAGTAAGCACTTCTTGTTGCAGAATAATTTCATTCATTTGAAATCTCTTCCCTTAAAACCCTTTGAGGCTGGGATTGGTGGCTCATGCCTGTAATTTCAGCACTTCGGGAGGCCAAGGCGGGCAGATTGCCTGAGCTCAGGAGTTTGAAACCAGCCTGGGCAACATGCTGAAACCCTGTCTCTACTAAAAATACAAAAAATTATCTGGGCATGGTGGTGCACACCTGTAGTCCTAGCTACTCGGGAAGCCAATGCATGAGAATCACTTGAACCCAGGAGGCGGAGGTTGCAGTGAGCCAAGATCGCACCACTGTACTCCAGCCTGGGTGACACAGCGAAACTCTGTCTTAAGAAAAAGGAAAAAACCTTTCAAGGGTGATTAAAACTCCAGGTATCTGTAAAACTTGGTCAGAAACGGACAATAACAGGAAAGCCAATTGAAGTAAATGGCACAGATAAACTGGGGCTTGCCATTGAGGACTTCTCTGAACAAGTCTGCAAGGAAGTGCTCTCAACGAGAAGGCACAAGAATAGGGGATCATTTGTTATGAGTATAGGAGAGAGGCCGCACTTACCTCTGGCACTGCTGGGGTGAGGAGAGCAGCAATCAGGCTGACTGCTGAGAACTTTAAAAATGCATATCCCAGAAGCAAGCCCCAAATGTGCCTCGTTAGGAAGGAGCCTCCAACAGAGAGAAGTGTGAGTGAGCCAAGACTGTTTTCCTGTGAAAGGATTATTAAAAAATCAGCAGATGAGGGTGATGACAGGCTCTTTTCTTGGGTCAGCATGGACTGAACAAATGGAAATGGAGGTGAATAGACAGAATGCTCCTGAGCGTTGCTGCAGTCCTGATGAGCTGCAGTGGCTTTGCGAAGGATACCACTGCTGCCCGGCCCCAGCCTCGTTGTGTCTGTCCAGCACCGCCCCTTTTCTACCACATCCGTGGCCTTCAGCCCACCCAAAATCGGACCAGCCTGCCGTACCATACTATGCGGTTATGGACTGCAGCTGACCATGTCCCTTCTCAAACCCATTCATTGTCAGCTTTTCATTGGCCTTCCTGCCTTAGAGATTGGAGGTCATGGTCACTCCATCAGCCCACAGCCTTGCCACACTGTACACCACGGTGGGTTTTGCCTCCTGGGGCCTCTTGTAGACTTAGGATTAGCAGAAGACATCAACACAGTTCATCTGAGGTCAGGAATTGTAACTTGAATCTTTATTTTTAAAGTAAAGAATACCTTTTACTCCGTGACCTAGAAAATTCGGAGTCACTTAGCTCTTTCCCATTGGCGCTGGGAAGAGGCTCTGCATGTTTTCCCGATGGAAGACTTTGGGTTCTCTGTGGTGTGCCCCTGAGGATGTATAGCTTGGCTAGGAATCAGGAAAATTTGGCAGCTTGAACTCAGGTAGAGGAGAGTGTGGCAAGAAAAGTTGTCAGTTCCTCAGCCATAGGACCCTCGGGGTGAGAGCGTGCCCAGCCATGCCGTCTGTCTAGCTCGCTGGCTGGCCTGCCGTACCCCAGCTCACACTTCTTTCGGTACTCCACTAGCACGGCATGATTAGCGTGCCATAAACAAAAGAAAACATGAGAAAATGAGAAGAAAATGGTTTTTTGATCAGACTGGGACAGAATTTAAGACATTAAGCCTAGGCTAACAAGATACTTAGACCAGTGGTTTAAGATGTAGGCATGATACCTTAGCTGCAATTGCATGAGTAGCTAAGACCACACACTTGGGACCAGAGACGACCTGCCTATCACATCAGCTCCCCAGCTTCCTTCCCACACACAGGGGAGTAACTCCTCTGTCAAAGCCCACTAGAGAGATCCCAGAGCCTCCCTGGGAATCATTTTACTGTTTGACAATTATATCTGCCAGAAAGTACCTCTTGTGCTGCCAAAGAGACCATTTTCACTATTGTGCTTCATTCTTTAGTCGTGAGGATGCAGCATCTTTAACAAAGGAAGCTATTGATTGGCTGCAGTTCAAGCTTTTATTACCTTTTTTTAAGACTACCATTTTCTTTTTTAAAGTAAAAATACTCATTGGGTCGCCATACTGAGTAATTTGACATTGAAAACCATTTTATAAATACAGCCTCCTCAGAGTAAAAAAAAAAAAAAAAAAAAAAAAACAAACCCAGCCATGGAGGCCCCTGCCAACATGGTCTTTTGTTTCTTGTTCCCAGCAGTAAAGACTCCTCTCCCACTCTGGCTTCTAAAGTGGACCAGCTGGAAGGTATGCTGAAGATGCTTCGGGAAGATTTGAAGAAGGTAAACATGTATTCTCAAAGCAAATTGTCCAGTCTGTACAAACTACCCTTGAACCATGAGAGCCCTTTCTAAGTAGCATGGTAAAATAAGACGTGGGTGTCTTCCCGGTGCCTGCATGTGTTTGGGGATGCAGGGATTTCAGTTGCCACTGGAACACACAGCATGAGGAGGCGTTCGGTGTCCGGTGTACAGAAAAACTGTTCAATAATTTGTGAAAGGCTGTGAACCTCAGCCAGCACCATCTGGGTCCTCTCCCGGCCTCCCCACTCCTTGTGTAATGTGTCAGTAGCCCAGACCCCCATGTAGTCGGTGTTATTGGGGCTTTTGCACCAAAAGAACTGAATGTTTTGTTTTTTGGGTGGCCTTGACTATATATCAAGACATCAGCCACCAACACAATTGTCTAAAATTTAAGACAATCCTGACTAACAAGGATGTTAAAATACACATTAATGTACTTACATTCCAGGATTACTTAGAGCTAATCCTGCAGGGTTGAATCTCTCTAGAAGCCCTGCTCCCTGAGCTTAGAGTGTCTTAGCACCTGATACCAGTCCGTTTAGACAGGTGTTTGGAGGAACGAAGAATAGAAATGGACAAAAGATCAAAACGGGTCCATAGCTATTACTCAGAAGAGCTGGGCAAGGTGGGGCCAACACCTCTTAGCTTTTCTACTTCACTCTGCCTCCCAGGAAAAAGAAGACAAAGCTCACCTTCAGGCGGAGGTGCAGCACCTGCGAGAGGACAACCTGAGGCTACAGGAGGAGTCCCAGAACGCCTCGGACAAGCTGAAGAAGTTCACAGAATGGGTCTTCAACACCATAGACATGAGCTAGGGAAGGCTGAGGAGGACAGGAGAAGGGCCCAGACACTCCCTCCAGTGAGTGTCCTGCAGCCCTTATTCCCTCCATAGAAAGCATCCTCAGAGCACCTTCCCTGGCTTCCTACTCTGCCCCCTTTCGGGGAGTGCACAACACAATAGTTGCAGATCAACAATCATCACCTGCCTTTTGTAGAAAAGAAAAACAAAAAAAGTAAATAAAAATTTTAAACAGTAAAATAAAAGTTTAACTGCTAAAATGTGAATGTCTTTATTTTTTTGCACAATATCTTTATCTGTTATGTATTTAAGAAGAAACTGGGCCTTGGACCAGGGCGCCCCCTGGCCCATCCGCCTCTATTCCCATCAGCTTTCTTATCAACTTCAGGTAACCCAAGCTTTCCCTTGTTATTCTAACAAATATCATTATTCCTAGAAAAAGAATGTTTTTATAACTTGTTTGGGGAGTAGAGAGGGATATTTCCTTACCTTCTTCCCTAAAATGCCTGGAGAGGGAGTTGCTTTGAGAAAATGCCTACCTCCCTTGAATGACTCGTGCATGAGCTAGTGCTGTCTGTACCTGTCCTCCAGAGATCAGCAGGACCGGAGTTAAATATTTAACAGCAAGTCTGTAAACCAGAGCAGCTCTGACAGTGCCTGCAGGCCACACCCCTTCTCAGTCCTGCATTGTGAGGTCATTTCCTGCTTCTCCCTTTCCCCAGGAAGATGGTCCCACTTGTGCTGCAAGACTCTTTTTTGTTTGGCTTAATTGAGCCCCACTAAATTGGAATCAATCTCTCTTACAGCTTCCTGGCTCCAAACATTAATTGATTTCAGAATTCCCCCAAACTAAAACCTTATCTGTCTGCATTTTGAATGCATTTTGGTCAAAAGTATACGTTTTAAAGATTTTTAAAGATAAAAATGTGGCACAACTGGTTTTTTTAGCTTGCTGAAAATGACCATATCTCTAAATTAATCTTTCTCTCCAGAGCAAGACTTCACCAGTATTTGTAACTAGGAGAAGCTAACAGTGAATGTTTAATTGTGAATTTTAATCATTGCTTGTTAGGAATAATGACTGTGATACTAGAATGGGCTTTTGAAACCTGCATGTCCCAGTGTGAAATTTCAGCACGGCATTTTCTGCATCCTTTCATGGCCATCCAAAGGATTCCGCTGCAGAAATTATTGATGTGCTATTTTTGCTGTCTTGTGATGCAGGCTGCTTTGGGCCCCTGGGTCACTCTTCCAAGGCTGCTGTAGAGCACAGAGACATGGGGCTGGCCAGTGTTGACTGACCTGAGGAGACCCCTTTGTTTGTTGCCTTCATAACTGTCACTAAACCGACCCCTCTGCCCTTTCAGTGGCAACTCTGGTCTAAGGGAACATTCAGCACTCTAG
Source organism: Homo sapiens (assembly GCF_000001405.40). Classification (NCBI taxonomy): domain Eukaryota; kingdom Metazoa; phylum Chordata; class Mammalia; order Primates; family Hominidae; genus Homo; species Homo sapiens. Next base: position 71,740,550 of record NC_000014.9, read on the forward strand.
CGGCATCTGATTGGAAGTTCCCTCACCCAAGTAATCTCAATTCCTTCCTCTCTCCATCCCTGAAAGAAACAGGATGGATTTTCCTCTCTTCTCCCTGCTACATTCACTACCAGATTTTTATGCTACAGTTTCATTCTTGATTGTGATTTCTCCATGGAATTTTTTTTTTCTGGTGACATTTCTATCATGGAAATAGGAAGATTTCGGAGTGCTTTGTGAAGATTTCAATTGTCTGTCTCTTTCTCTCTTTGACTTGTATGAAGGAGATTGTACATTGCCTGATATCTCTTTGTAAATGAGAAATATTGCTAACATCCAAGCATTCTGAAGTCTTGCTTATCCTTCTGAGTTTAGTTCTCATTTTGTTTTACATTTTGTTTGGGGACTTGGGGCAAGCTATTTATTAGAGTTTTGCAACAGAGTTCTTGTTTGAAGCCTCTAAAGACTACCTGTAAAATTCAAAGAATAAAATTCATTTTAAACGCTCTTTTAAAACACTTTGGTATTATTGCTTGAGGTTTGCTTATTTGAAAGACCACCCAATAACTCATTGACCCTCCTTGCATCCGAATTTTTTCATCAAGCTTTGTTAACACTAATGATGATTCTTGAAAATTTCTGTCCTTCTCAGAATGTTAATAAACTTTTTTACTCTGTCCACATGTCGATAGAGAATTACTATTTTGCCTTCTCTGCTTATGATTTAATATTTGCAGAGCACTTCATAATTAGCTTCCCCTTCATTATCCACGCATGGATTTTTCATAACATTGTTATTCTCTGAGACCAGCACATTTTTGGGCTGCATCTCCCAGCTCTCAATGTCAGATGTTGTGTGCCCAGGGAATACAAATGCCTGTTAATATTAGGCTGTGCAAAATATAATTAGAAAAGTTAATCTACTGAAAAAAAAATCAGTGCATTCCAAAGTCAAACCGAACCAATTTTTTTTTAATCTACCACGTCACTGTTCCTCTCCAGCGGCGCAGCTAATTGAGTGCTGACAGTAGAGTTTCTTCCTTTTATTTGGTTCAACAGTTCTACAGATTCCAGAGTTCTTGGACTAGCATAAGAATGGATGCCACAAAATATTCCAATTAACAAGCTAAAAAGGTCTGTTTAGACCATGATTCCTACATGGTTCGGAGGGCTTATACGTTATTTCTGTAGGGCTTGGCACATGGGTTGGGAGCCCCTGGGAGAAGGTGCTGTTGGGCCTGCATTGATGGAAGATCTTCATCCATGAGCTGACTGGGAAGGCCAGTTGCTTGCGCTCCAGATCTGGTGCCGGTGATAAGCTGGGTTAGGTTACTAACTCTTTAGGTGGGGATAAGAACGATAGTCCAAGGGCAAAGAAAACAGGCCCAGCAAACTTACACTGTTTGCCTCTAGTTAAATGTAAAATGATGATCTGAACCCAGATTTCAGTCTCACAGTACGATGTTTCAGTAACTGTGAGGTGCTGTTTTCCCACAATAAACAAAGTGGATATTAAAGTGCAAGATGGCACACATGGGTCAGAAACCCAGTGAAGACTGGCCGGGTGTGAGGGCTCACACCTGTAATCCTAACATTTTGGGAGGCCAAGTCAGGAGGATTACCTGAGCCCAAGAGTTCAAGACTAGTCTGGGCAACATAGTGAGACCTCATCTCTGCAAAAAATAAAATTAGCTGAGCATGGTGGCACATGCCTGTAGTCCCAGCTGCCTGAGGTGGGAGGATAGATTGAGCCCAGGAGGTCGAGGCTGCGGCGAGCTGGGATTGCCCTACTGCACTCCAGCATAGGCGACAGAGACCCTGTCTCAAAAAAAAAAAAAAAAAAAAAAAAAGAAGACTTGGGTAATGTTAAATATGACCTGTGTCCTGTGTGATTTTAAAAGAATAAAGATGCCACAGTAATGCTGGATACTTTTTCTATGTATGAATTTTGTCACTAATGACCCTTCCATAGGCATCATCTTTTGAGAAAAAGACATTTGACTTCAACTGGGGCTTAAATCCCATCCATTACTTATCATCTGCGTTCTTAGGAAAATTACCTAATCTCCGAGCATGGTTTCCTCATCTGGTAAAGTAGTTAACAGCCTCATGTTTTAAGAATTAAACAGAACCAGACGTGTAAAGGCAATGACTGGCAAATCGTAACACACTCAATAAACATCGAGTGGCTTCCTTTGTCCTACATCTCTGATACGTTCATGCTTTTATGTTGTTTTTCTAGAACAGAGTCCTGATGTATTAATAGCAGAGGTTTTCAAATCCTTAGCAGTGAGTCTATACCCCTACTCCCCTACTCCCCAACAAGCACCAGGTCATGTCTTTCCTTAAGTAGAATTGCTTAAGCGACGGAAGAGTCAGAATGAGCTCGTCCACTTTGCTTAGTATTGGCCTGTGCTTTTAACCCTTTGCTATAAACAGAACAGCGACTCAAACTTGAGCTTGCCTCCGAATCACCTGGAGAGTTTGTCAAAACACAGGTCACGTGGCTGCACCCTCAGGATCAGTGATTGTGCAGGTATTAAGTAGAAAATACTTAAATTTTCTACAAGTTCCCAGGTTATGCTTTAGAAGAATAGGGTTACCAGGAGAATAGCCATAGGCACCAGCATTAAAAGAAATAGAAACTAAGGTATGAGGTATACCGTGTCCAGATAACTGAGTATTATGTTGACAAGTTAACCATCCACAGACTACCTTGCAGAGGGAAACAGGCTTAAATTGTAACTCAAAAATTCAGTTAGATAAAAGAACTTTATTTTCCTTTTTTACTAAAATGGTGATTCAGAGCCCCCTGTGCATGAAACTTGACTATTTTAAATTCATGTGTTACCTAGATGGAGCTAGAATTTCTTTACCACCATTAATTATATGAGACTAGGTACCAGATTAGCAAGGGGGTGACCTTGGCGCTCTCAGAGTGGATGACAACTTGGGACAGCAGAGCTGCTGAGGAAAGCAGGGCCTGGGGTGGCAGGTGCAGAGCCCCAGAGCCATGCCCGCAGTGTTGTAGCCACAGGGGATGTGGGGTGAGGTGGGGTTGGCGGGGGACTTGGGGAGACTTGGTTCCAGGCTGAGAATGTTAAATTCAAGTCACTGACTTCCACCACCAGCCCAGTCTATTCACTCAGTCTCCAAGATCCTGTAAAACCTCAAAGTTACAAGAAAAGCACGTTTCACAACTGCCCTCATCCCTGTCCCACATGGTTCAGAAATCTTTACTTCAGTGCCCATGCTGCACAGTAGCCTGTTTTCTCTGCTGTTGTCCAAAGACAAGACAGAAGGAAGGAGTTGCGGCTCCTCTGTACCCTTTACAAAAACTGTGGCTCAAACACTCCAAGACACGGCTGTCTTTTCTGAGAAGATAATTATCACCTTGGGGTTTTCATTCCTAGTACCTGGCCCCTTCTATTGCTCCTCTCTGTGGATCCCCCTCCTCTCCTGGGCCTGCCAGCATTGTGCTCCCTTGCACCTTGTCAGATTATGCCCTTCCGGTCCTCCACCCTTTCAAATCAGACATCTCCTTCTGTCTTGCCTCTGTGTGTCTGAGTCATCACACCTGAGACCCAAGAGAGCATTCCACCTTCCCTTCTCTCATTACACCTCTCATTATACCCTTTTAGTCCCACTTGCCTTCAGTCCTGTGAACAGGCATCTCCCAAAGTTCCTTCCATTACTTACTCTAAATTAACGCATCTTATTATGCCTCTTAATCAGCTCCTCTGCCAGGCACAGCCCCACCTTTAAACACATGCAGCTCATTTTATCCTTCCATTTGTATCTCTCATGACCCATTTTCAACCTGAATGATCTCCTAGACAAAATACCCTAAGCTCTGGGTACCTTACTCCCTATCTTTATGTAAGTGTATTCCTTCAAAGATCTCATCATGTGTTCTGTTGATGCATCTATGATTCATTTTTCTTACCCAAAGTGCCAAGTCCTTTTAAGTGGCTCGAACTCCCTATACATTAGATCTTGGTAGTGCACCCCTGAATCTCTAATAAGCTCACCCAGTCATATCTCCTGTGCAAGACTGTAATTCAGCGTTTAAGAAAAGCATCACAAAATGGCTATCTGCCAATAAAATCCAACTCTTTTGCAAAAGTATAAACTGCTTGGGAGGGGATAGTTTCTCCAGTTTGCCACTGATGCTCCCACTCCATATTGCCTTAAGTGCTCCCAGCTCACTGCACACATCTAGGTAACTTGCCTGGTAAGAAGGCATTTGAGTTGACGTCCTCTGAATCCCGTCACCAAAACCAAGGAAGCCATTTCCTTCCCCAAACAACACCCCCATCATAGGCCCACCCACCCTCACCTACCCTGCGTTCCTGGGAGTGAAATACATTTAAGAAGGGAGTTTTATGCCAATTCAAAGAGCAAACAATAAATTACTAATAAAGTTGCCGGGAGGTGGTCCTTTAGTCACTTGTCTTAGTGAAAAGGTAGGATGGATTTGTAAGTGACCTAGTAATTTTTTTAACGAGCTTAAGGGTATTTGAAAGAGTTACTTCTCATAAGAAGCTTAAACATTGCTCTGTAATCTTAAGACAATAAATATGCTTAGCAAACTCTTTTTTTTTTTTTTAGTTAGTACAAAGATAAACTCATCCCAATGTAGGTACATTTCAAATTAATGAGTCTATGCCTATTAAAACATGTGCCATAAATGCTGCCTAGCATAATATAAACAACGCTAGCTGGAGTGGGAGTGAGGACTTCCTTGACAGGCACTGCCAACAAGCAATTCACTTAAAGAAAGACAAGACCTGGTGCATGTTGGAGAGCAGGGGTGTGGACTCACTGCTCACTAAGGATTTGAAAAACCGTGGTGTGAAAGACAAACTGGCGGCCGGGCATGGTGGCTCACACCTGTAATTCCAGCACTTTCGGAAACCGAGGCGGGCAGATCACAAGGTCAGGAGTTCAAGACCAGCCTGGCCAAGATGGTGAAACCCCATCTCTACTAAAAAATACCAAAAAAATTAGCTGGGCATAGTCGTGGGCACCTGTAATCCGAGCTACTCAGGAGGCTGAGGCAGAGAATTGCTTGAACACAGGAGACGGAGGTTGCAGTGAGCTGAGATGGTGCCGCTGCACTCCAGCCTAGGCGACAGAGTGAGACTCCATCTCAGAAAAAAAAAAAAAAAAAAAAAGACAAACTGGCCTTGACCTTTGTGGCCCAAGAAGCAAAATAGGGACCAGTGAATGCAAGTTATAGGAAACAGATTTTTGTCTCCAAGGTAGTTGATCAATGGTGATTGGGTGGTGTCCTGAGCTTGAAGTAAAAACCAGCTTTAAGAATCACTTTGCAAAGAACCTATCTCTTCATTTTAGTGGACACTTGCTGTCTTTAAATAAACTTAGAATCACGAATCACAGAATCAAGATGGAAAGGATCTTTAAAGTTTATTTATTGCATCTCCCAGCCCAGGTTCCAAGCTCCGCTTCACTGTCCCGCCACATGTTCAGCCACCTGTCTTTGGTTACACCAGTGATGGGGGAACTCTCTACTTCCTGAGGCTGCACACTTGATCTTTCAACTTCTCTTTTAAGTCCTTCCTTTTATTCAGGAGAAATCCATTTTCCTTTAGTGTTTGTATTTGAGACAGGGTCTCTCTGTGGCCCAGGCTGGAGTACAATGGTTTGATCATGGTTCACTGTGACCTTGAACTCCTGGGCTCAAGCCATCCTCCTGCCCTGGCCTCCCAAAGTGCTGAGATTACAGGTGTAAGCCACCACGCCCGACCTCCCTTTAATTTTTACAACTACTTCCAGTCCTATCACTTCAATTATACAAACAAATATGTTTCTCTTCCCAGATTATAACCACTAATTTTTTAGAAAATGTCAGGTCTTCCCAATGTTATGTCTTCCCCAGGATAAAAATTCTCTATTTCCTCTACTTTTCCTCATTTATCATGGCTTCCAGCCCCTTTTCCACCATAATATAATCATATCTAACATGTATTAAGGAGATGGTCACTTTGTGTGCATTATCCCTTTGAGTCCTCACAATAGCCCTGTGAGATGGGTGCTATTAATGTCCCCATTTTACAGAACAATCAACAGAGTCCTAGAGAGGTTAAATAATTTGTTAGCAGTAAAATAGCTGGTGAATGGCAGAGCTGGGATTCAAACACAGCCCTCTGATTCTAGAACCAATATTTAATCTGTATTTTCTCAGTCTTACTGGTCTCAACCTATGAGTCCCCTGCATGGCCTGGTTGCATGGAGCTTTGCCTAAGAGATCTAGATAGCAGCATCATTGGCACAGGGTTGTAAATGGGGTAGGGGTTAGGGAACAGGAAAGACAACAAAAGTGTACCTTAAGGCCAGAGGACTCAGAGGAAACACCCTCTCCTGGGAGGCTCTTAGAGGAGAGGGGCCTTTAAAATGCTTCAGCATTCTCTCTTGGCCAGGCGTGGTGGCTCATGCCTGTAATCCCAGCACTTTGGGAGGCCAAGGCAGGCAGATCACTTGAGGTCAGGAGTTCGAGTCCAGCCTGGCCAACATGGTGAAACTCCATCTCTACTAAAAATATATAAATTAGCTGGGCTTGGTGGCAGACACCTGCAATCCCAGCTACTTGGGAGGCTGAAGCAGAAAACCCGGGGGCAGAGGTTGCGGTGCCAAGATAGTGCCACTGCACTCCAGCCTGGGTGACAGAGTGAGACTCCATCTCAAAAAAAAAAAAAAGAGTGCTTCAACATTCTCTCTCATTTAATATAGAGGTTCCCTCTATGAATTTCAATTCAAGGAGATAGCTTCCTATCGAATTCCAGGCAAATCTGAAGTTAAAAGAGGCTTTGAGAAACTCAAACAGTGGTTCTCAGACTTAAGAATAAGTCTGAGTTATTGTTTTAAGCATCAGTATCACCTAGAGAAGTTGTTAAATTCCTATTTCTGGACTCCTGGCTCAGAGATTCAGTATTAATAGATCCAAGCTGGAACCATAGAGCCTTCATTTTAATAAGTGACCCTAGTATGCATGACTTGGGTGGGCAGTGAACTACTCTTCAAGGAAACTCTGTCCTAAGCTTTCCAAAGCCCTTGGCCAGCTCTTCTGAGCCAGGGAGCAGCATGTTAAGTTATGGTAGGTGAGGGTGTTGTCGGGCTTCAGATTTGTGGATGCTTTGCCACTCCTCAATAGGTGAGGAATGTCTGGCCAGAATGGTGCTTTCATGAGAGAAGGACAGAGGGACCTTTGGAGCAGTCATTTACTCAGTGGCTGATAGTTCTTAGCCTCATCCCACACTACACCTGTGTTTGCCTTTTTTTAAACTAAGAAGCATTTGCTTAGTGGAAGCCAATTAAAATCTTTGTTTCAAAACCAACTTCTAAATACTGTATATAACACTCTTTCCTCCTTAGGACAAACTGCAACAATGTTAATTTTACACTCAGGTCTAATCAGATCTCATTATTGATGTTGCTGTAATACCCTCTGCTCCTGGTTCTGTATCATTATCCTTGAGCAGGTAGGAGGCATGGATTTCAAAGTTGGTCCCTGTTTTCAGCAATTTAAAGACAAATAAGAGATTTCCAGTTTATACCTTGAAGCCCATCTGTCAAAAAACTGTGCCCAAGGTCCTTGCAGTCCGCTTGCTAAAGCAACAGATTAAGAAGAACAAAACAAGCCCAGATCCCAAGTGTAAACCCCAGCAAAAGCCCAAATGCCTCCTGACTGCCTGCCAAGGGTCCACAGAGAGGCATGTGGGAGTCAGTGCTCCTGGTCATGACCTCTTCCTTTAGCCAGTGTTCTGGTTATCTATAGCCACTTAAACTACTTCATAATTAGTTGCTTAAAACAAGCATGTTCTTATCTACTGTTTCACAAGTTGGGAATTTGGGCAGGGCTCAGCTGGGTGATTCTTCCGCTCCATATGGCATTCACTGGGGTCACTCAGAGGTATTCAGCTGGCAGCTGAGGTGGCTGGGAGAGCCCAAGGTGGCTTCACTCACAATCTTGACACCTCAGTGGGGACAGTGGAAGAGAAGGCTGGGCTCAGCTGGGCCCCTTTCCCTCTCCATGTAGTCTCAAAGCCCGCATGTGCTCTCTCTGGCAGGGTTGTTGGACTTTCAACATGGTGCTCAGGGCTCCAAGAGCCCAAAGTAGAAGTTGCCAGTCTTGCAGTGGTGTGATCTCAGCTCACCACAACCTCCGCCTCCCAGGCTCAAGCAGTTCTCCTGCCTCAGTCTCCTGAGTAGCAGGGATTACAGGCACATGCCACTATCACCTAGCTAATTTTTGTATTTTTAGTAGAGATGGGGTTTCAATATGTTGGCCAGGCTGGTCTTGAACTCCTGACCTCAAATGATCCACCTACCTCGGCCTCCCAAAGTGCTGGGATTACAGACGTGAGCCACCATGCCCGGTCAGAAGTTGCCAGCCTTCTTAAAAGCTCGGTCCAGAAATGTCAGGGTGTTGCTTCCTCATACTTTGTCAAGGCCAGAGTCAAAGAAAGGGGAGATAGGCCCCCTCCCTCAGGAAGGGGCTTGTCAAAGAGTTCATACCACCTCTCATCTGCCACAGTCAGCCTCTCTCCTCTGTCTCCACTACAATCAACCCCATTCTCCTTTCAGACTCCTCACTCCTCTATCAGGATCAGAATACCAGAATTTCCATCTAGAGTTATAAAAAACCCAGTCGAATACTAATCTCACCTGAGGGAAATTACCCCATTCCTCAGGTAATCTTGGGAACAGGGCAGGCCTTTGGAGCATCTGTGCTGGACAGTGAGGCCCTCCTGTTCCCCACTCCTCTCACTGTCCTGGTTTTCTCACTGGCTTTATCTAAGTACCATGGTTTGCCATCAGAAGAGATTGGCAGAGGAAGAGGACATCAACCTTCACCCCAGCCCCTCTTTCCACTAAGACCAAGAATCTCAGTCCAGAAACCCCATGGCAAAGGCTGACAATTGTCGCAGGTTCCAAGAGGGTCTGATGCTGTGTGACCTCCAGGCTCACCTGGCTCAGTCAAGCTAAGGACCAAGAAAGAGAAGCTCTCTATGCCAGCACTTCATTCCTAAGAATGCAAGGTTTGCTATATATTTGGGGCAGCCCTTACCACCTCCAGAAGACCATGTAAGGTCTAGCAGAAGGACAAGAGTACAAAAGGCAGTCAGGAGGCAGCTAGTGTGAGGCAGTACGAGGAAGCCCCAGCCAGTGCAGCGTGAGTCTGGGAGTCAGCTACGTTCTCGAGCTTCCTCCTCTGTAGCACCAGTGACAGCCAATTTATTACTTCTGTTGCCAGGGAAGTGATGTGCCAGGATTCACGTTTGCAAGGCCATGACACTCTCTGCCTGGTCACCTAAAGGTACTGGGAGGCAGACTGGCTGCCCTGCCTTCTGCACCTTGAGACTGGGTGTGAGCTCAGCCTTGGGAGACCTGTCAGCTTCAACCCCTCAACATCTCCCTCCTGTGCTCAGCTACATGCCCTGCCAGCTGAGCCCAAATCCTCAACTTGACAGAGAACTGGCCGTAGGGTACAGCAGGAAGTGGAATCAAGAAAAGCCCTCAGCTGGAGGTAAAAGACACAACCACAATCCATGAGCCACAGTGAACGTCTCTCGCATCACTGATGCTCTAAGAAAGATGCTGTTCAGAGGGGGAAGTGACATCCCCCTCCCCTCATACTTGAATCTTCTCTACTTCCCAGCCCTGTCTAGCCAGTCTCTGCTTCCACAGCTTCTGTGCTGTCAGAGGCTGAGCCTCTCTTAATGGGGGTGACATTAACCACTGCCCCAGGTTAGGGACAGCCTCCTCTGGTCCAGCTGTGGGCCTCCCACCCCTCCCCTCTGATTGGCTGTTCTGCAGTGCGGTGGTGGGAAGGGGTCCACATGGGGTAATCAGATAGGGGCCAAGCATAGTTCTTTCCTCAAAGGCAGGGAGAGCATAATTGTCAACTCTCCTTTGAGGCAATAGGAAATACTTGCAATCATTCCAAGTAGGCAGCAAAGTACACAAAAGCATTGAGTTTTCAGTATTGTGACCACCTGAATATTCGTATCCTGCCCATATTGCACTCTGCAGTAAGGCAGCTCCAAGAGTTGCAAGGTTCTGTTACACTAAACCAAAATCTGCCTCCATCTAATTTCCACCAGATAGTAACAAAAGGTACACTTTCTGAAGCACTTCCCATGCTTCTGGCACTTTCCTGAGCACTTCGCGGCTGTCATCCTGTCCTTGAGTGGCTCTGGGAGCTCAATTGTCCCATTATCCCTTGGTTGAGGAAGCTGCAGCTCAGAAGGGCTAAGGAGATTGCTCACCCACTTGGTTGGATTCGAACACAGGTCTGTTGGATTCCAATGCCCTGGGCCAATGCAGCTCCCAGCCTATAGGGTCTGATTCCCTTCCCCTTTCCTGAGGCTGCCCTTCCCTGTTTGGAGGTGGCTGCCTTATCCTGTCCCTCTCCCAGCCTCTTCTCCTGGACCAAGCATCTTGGGCTTCCCACTGCTGCTCCCTGCCTTGGTCTCAGTCTCCCACCCTCCTGGGCTCCTTTCAAAGACAGGCAGAAATGAGCACGGCATTCCGGCACTGGTACTGGCCCTCCAACTCTGGATCCAATATCCTTAGGATGCATGCAGCCTATGATTACCCCATTTTTTTGGCGTCCTGTCTCACATAAGCTCAGAGGCGATCCCAACACCTAAGGTGTTTTCACCTGTGGTGTTTTGGGGTTATTTCTTCTCCATTCAAAATGGAAAGGGAAGAAGACATGTATCTCAGTTAAATCTCATCTTACAGATCTGACCAACTGTTTCAGTCTGTTGAGTAGTTTGAACAATGCTGATGCTGTCATTTATCACAAAGTGTGCTGTTGGACCTAAATGTGAGTCATACGCCTCTGAGAGGACCCTGATAACAACACTGACTGGCTGAGGTCAGGCTCTGTGGTCACCACCATCCAGGATGCATCATTTTATATATTTTGAGACAGGGTCTCACTGTCACCCAGGCTGGAGTGCAGTGGTGCTAATCTTGGCTCACTGCAGCCTTGACCTCCTGGGCTGAAGCGATCCTCCCACCTCAGCCTCCTGAGTAGCTGGGAGGTGCTAACCACCACAACTGGCTAAGGTAGAGATGGGGTTTTGCCATGTTGCCCAGGCTGGTCTAGAACTCTTGAGCTCAAGCAATCCACCCACCTCGGCCTTCCAAAATGTTGGGATTATGGGCATGACCTGGCCTCGATGCATCATTTTAAACAAGCCTCCTTGGCCAGGTGTGGTAGTTCATGCCTGTAATCCCAACACTTTGGGAGGCTGAGGAGGGTGGATTGCTTGAAGCCAGGAGTTCAAGACCAGCCTGGACAACAAAGTGAGACCCCAGTCTCTATGGGATGGGGTGAGGTGGGGGATTGGGGGGAAGAAACAACAACTAGCAAGGTGTAGTGGCTCACACCGATAGTCCCATAGTCCCAGCTACTTGGGAGGCTGAAGGGGGAGGATCCCTTAAGCCCAGGAGGTCAAAGCTGCAGTGAGCTGTGATTGCAGCACTGTGCTAGCCTGGGCAACACAGAGAGACCCCATCTCTTGAAAACAAAACAGAACAGGCCTCCTTGAGAAGTGTCATTCCACCTGTTATGAATCCAGGCTTAATCCAAAGCCCCTACTCTCACTTCTTCCAGGTTCCCTCCTGGCCCCGCTGCCCCTCCCTGATCCTTCAGCCCCAGGCATCCTGTAGTATCCGAGTGAGATAAAGGCAGACTTTGGCTCCTCTGATAAACTTCAGCAGTGTGGATCTCTCCGCCCCACGTCATGAGTGATCAACGTTCTTCTGTGGAGACTCCTGGCGTCCAGCTGAAAGTCGTGCGGCTGAGACCTCCGCGGTGCCACAGAGAAAATAGGTGTGGGGGCTGCACGGGGCCTTGAAAACTACCCAGATACCCCCGTGGAGAACGCTGGTGGGAGACTGGGCGTTCCTCAAAGTCCCGAGTGGCACAGCTGTTAGTGCTCATCTCCAGAAACCCACAGCACCTGCCCCCACGAAATCTGTGGAGAACACGAGCAGGCGGTGCAAATAATTCTGACTCCTCGGCGGAAGAACAGGAATAAGAAGGCCCGGCCTGGCCGTGGGTTGCTGGGTGAAAAGCAGCATTGCATTCGAAATGTTAGTTCATTGCAATAAATGGGTTCAGCTCCTCTTTGGAAATATTACTATAGCACAAAGTACTTTATGAAAGCCTTTTTAAAAATCAGATATTATCAGATAGTTGGTTAAAGAGCTGATTAGCTTATCAAAATGTCTGCCTATAGACGAGGAACTTGGGGCGCTCAGCACAGAGACCCCCATACCTTTTCCTGTGTGCCCACAGAGTAAGCGTTCTGAGGGCCGAGGGGAAGAGGCGACATGCAAGTTCCCACGGAGAGGAAGAATTGTTAATGGCAAAAGAATCCCAATGGAAGGTAAATTCCCTCTGATATTACACCGTGAGTCTCTGAGAAGCAACACCAGGCTTTAATAGACAAACGCGGTATTTCCTCCTGATTATTTAATTGGCACGGGAGAGCCACGCAGGTTACGAATTTGTAAGAAAACCCCAGCGGGCCCTGTTTCTGATCCCTTGGGAGGCATTCATTTAAGAAAACTTGTATTTTCTGTGTGCCCCAACTTGCACGGGGGGCGCCAACAAGCTCTGGGAACAGATGGGATTTCAGAAGCCGGGCCTCAGCGCCAACCGCGGGCTGCTGGCTCCCTCTGCTGTCCGAGTCCTCACTTGCGTTCAAGTGAAAGAGCGCGTTTCCCTCCTGATTCTGTGCCAGGAGAAATCCTGAAGGCAAGAAGACTGGGCTCAGAGCCAGGGGCCCTCCCGGGATTTGATAGCTCCTATTTTGATTTGAGCAGGACCTGCAGCCTTGTCAGTGTCTGAGCTCATGGGTAAGGTTGGGAGTAACCATTCACTGGCCAAGTGGTACCCCCCACCCCTGGGGAGGAGGAGAACAATTTCTTTCAAGGACTTTTCTGGGTACCCGGCGTGGGGAGTAAAGAGGGAGTCTCTGGAAGCAAAAGGAATCCTGAGAGGCCTGGGCAAATGACACTGGCTTTGCTTGAACCTGGAAGGCCAGATGGAGGAAAAAGAACTTCTGTTGCTGGGCGCGGTGCCTCATGCCTGTAATCCCAGCACTTTGGAGGCCGAGGCGGGTGAATCACTTGAGGTCAGGAGTTCAAGACCAGCCTGGCCAACATGGCGAAACTCTCTCTCTACTAAAATACAAAAATTAGCCTGGCGTGGTGGTGGGCGCCTGTAATCCTAGCTACCCGGGAGGTTGAGGCAGGAGAATTGTTTGAACCCAGAAGGTGGAGGTTGCAGTGAGCCAAGATTGCGCCACTGCACTCTAGCCTGGATGACAAAGTGAGACTCCGTCTCAAAAAAAAAAAAAAAAAAAACTATATATATATATATATATATATATATATATATATATATATATATATGTATATTCTGTTGATGGTTCGCATTGTTTTCTGCCCAGAATCCCCACTGTCCTCTCCTCAGGCTGATGGCAAAACTTCTCCCACCCAGATGACCTCCCTCCACCAACACCTGAGAGGCCCTCAGGCGATCTGATGCGAGGCCAGGCCGCTGGGGGCCTCCGGCAGGGACAGTCCGCAGAAGGAGGAAGGCAGATGGCAGAAGCGGCAGTGCTGTCCGGTAGGGAAGGCCCCGACGTCCGCCCTTCCCCAGACCGTGGGCTCCCCTCGCTTCCAGGGGTGGAGGAGAGAAGAGCTGGAGAAACGTGCCACGACTCAAACAAATTTACTTCCGTGGTGGATTCTGATTTTTTTGAACAAAATGAGGTGAGAAATGTCACATTTCTTTCTTCCTGCTTCAAGTCAAATCTAATCTGGCGAGGCTGGAATACAATTCTTTTCATGACAGAGGCTCTCTTCTTCCCTCTCGGGGTCCTATCGGGGTCCTATCAAGGTCCCGGGGTGCGGGCAGGAGAGGCCTCTGGTTTCTGGTTGCCACTGGCTGGTTTACAGACCCCTCGTCCTCACCCCCCTGGTCCTCAATGCCCTCCTGTTGAGCCAGGGCGTGGAGGTCACTGCACAGGCTGGGCCCGCCTCCCCTGCTGAGTTCAAGCGGTTATTCCCCTGAGGCCCTGCCGCATCGCTGGGACTGCTCAGAAGCTGGAGACACCAGTCACCTTTCTGAGCGTGGGAAGCTCTCACATTCCATTCTAGTCTTCCTGCCTCCTGAGCCCAGCCCTAGGCAGGCTCATCCCAGAGAAATGGGCCCTCACAGTGCCACCCTTAAACCTGGACAAGAGGGGCACCGTGTCCCTCTTATGGGACCTGCATATCCCCAGGGGGCACAATGTGTGAAAGAATGCCTAGCGCTTCTGTCACTGAGATGTGGCCCCTAGAGCTGGCACAGGGTCACCTGTAACCCTAAACAGATGCTGTCCTCAGGAACACTGTTCAGGCCTCAGAGAAATTGCCTTTTCGTCCCCACCCCCCTTTTTTGAGAGAAAGGGTCTCACTCTGTTACCCCGGCTGGAGTGCAGTGGCACAATCACGATTCCCTGCAGCCTCGACTTCCTGGGCTCAATCGATCCTCCTGCCTCAGCCCCACAAGTAGCTGGGACTACAGGCGCGTGCTACCACACCCGGCTACTTTTTGTATTTTTAGTAGAAATGGGGTTTCATCATGTTGGCCAAGCTGGTATTGAACTCCTGGTCTTAAGAGATCCGACTGCCTTGGCCTCCCAAAGTGCCGGGATTACAGGCATGGGCCACAAAGCCTGGCCTGAAATTGCCTTTCTTATCTTTCACCCTGTGTCTTCCAAACAGAAGGTGGCTGTGACAGAGTGGCTTGAAAGTTTAGAGGCTCCCAGAGCGGCTTGAAAGTTTAGAGGCTCTTCTGCTCAGAAACGTGGAAAGGATTTAAATATTAGAAGTGCCTAGGGCGGAGGGAAGACAGATTAATTCACTTGTCAAATACTTTCTTCCAGCATCAAAGCTCAACAAAGTGTTGCTTCTCAATAGTACTGAGTCCTTTCTCTTGCTTCTCTTTGTGTTCTAATTCATGGTTTCAGTTCTTTGATATTCACAACAGGTACGCATGGTGGCTGAAGGGTGCTTTGTGATATTAAACAATACGTATTCCTCTTAAATGTGTGTATGTAAAGGCTAGAGGTAACATGTTTGAAGCGAAATGTCGATTCTTTATATTGTTAACTCTATAGAAAATGACCAGTAGAATTTAAATAGTGCTATTTTTATAAAAATGTTTAAGATTTAATCTAAATTCAAAATATCAAATAAAAATTTCAGCTTTTAAAAAAGCTTGATTTACTTTGTTGTTTAAATTTTGTCTTTTATTTTCATTAAAAAATCTTTTGATTTTTTTTATTTTAAATAATAGAGGCAGGGTCTCACCATGTTGTCTAGGCTGGTCTTGAACTCCTGGACTCAAGTGATCCTCCCACCTTGGCCTCCCAAAGTGCTGGGAGTACAGATATGAGCCACGTTGCCAGGTCTGTCTTTTAATTTAAAATGTGTGGCTGGGCACAGTGACTCACACCTATAATCCCAGCACTTTGGGAGGCCCAAGTGGGTGGATCATTTGAGATCAGGAGTTCGAGACCAGCCTGGCCAACATGGTGAAACCTCATGTCTACTAAAAATACAAAAATTAGCTGGGTATGGTGGCGCATGCCTGTAATCTCAGCTCCTTTGAAGACTGAGTTGGGAGAATCGCTTTAACCCGGGAGGTGGAGGTTGCAGTGAGCCAAGATCACGCCACTGTACTCCAGCCTGGGTGAGAGAGCAAGACTCCATCTAAAAAAAAATAAAATAAAATGTGTGACTACTTGAGAGAAAAAATTTTTTGAAAACATAATTTTAATATTTTAATTTTTACATTTATGGCAATTCATGTTTTTGATTAGTACATTTTAAAATTGTATTCATTCAGAATACAGTTGCATTGAATTTTTTTAGGTCCTGGATAATATGTGAATAAGTCAAAATAATAAAAATAGAAAATATGGCAGTGGAGCTCTGAAAATAAAAAAGATTGAAAAGAGAAAAGAAAGAAAATCTTCAGAGAAATGGACTGCATGCTTTTTTTTTTTTTTTTTTTTTTTTTTTTAGGCGGAGTCTCGCTTTGTCACCCAGGCTGGAGTGCAGTGGCGCGATCTCAGCTCACTGCAACCTTCACTTCCCAGGTTCAAGAGATTCTCCTGCCTTAGCCTCCCAAGTAGCTGGGATTACAGGTGCCCGCCACCACGCCCAGCTATTTTTTTTTTTTTGTATTTTTAGTAGAGACCGGGTTTCACCATGTTAGCCAGGATGATCTTGAACTCCTTACCTTGTGATCCGCACACCTCAGCCTCCCAAAGTGCTGGGATTACAGGCGTGAACCACTGCGCCCAGCTGACTGCATACATTTTTAACAAGTGGAAACACTAATAAAAGTGAGCAGGCTTGCATATCAAAAAAGCACTCACACCATTACTAAACTGACAAAGGAAGACTTGATAAACAGCCAAGGTCAAAGGTTTCAACAAAGACAAGGAAATAGGTGTGAAGGCCTGAAATAATATTATGTGTTCAATGTTTAGCTAAGTAAGTGATGTTTTTGATGATAACCACAGATTATTTACAGAATATTTACAGAAAACAAGGAATAATCTTAAAACTTACTAGAAATAATTTTGAAATTTGATGCGAAAATGGCTGAAACAGGCTGAAAATTAAAGAAATAGTCCCTTTCCAGAATGGAGAATTCAGAACAAGATTGTTATGAGTAATACAGTGAGAAAAGAAATCATGCATATAATATATCCAAATCAACTAGATCATTCTAGAGATAAAAGACACATTGAATCACTAACATGTATTATGTATACATCACTGAACTACCAGAAGAAAACAAGGGCATTGAAAATAGTGAAGGTAGTTAATTGGTTTTACAAATATTGTAAAAAATATTTTTAAGTGAAGAACTAAAAAACATCTCAACTTTGGGTGTTGATTTAAAGCAGAGGTGTTTATATAGAGGGCTAAATAGTAAGCATTTTGGTCTTCACAAGCTGGACTGAGCCTTCAGTCTTTCTGGCTATTTCAGGCATAAAGAAGAGGTCCCAGGATAATACCAGGGTCAGCCTATTCCAGACAGAAAACTTCAGGAAATGCTGAAAAGATCACAGTATCCTTAGCCCAGGATGCTGGGGGGGTTCCTGTTCACAACGGTGCTATTCTAAGGGACTTCTGCCAACTTAGAGACCGAATCTAAATTTCTCAACATCGTGTTTACTGCCTGCCACTAAAAGAACAAATTAGACATGCCTGCGGCACATGACATTTTATAATCTCTTATTGGTGTTGCATATTTTCTTTGTGAATATTTTAATGTTTTTATTATTTAATTGAACTTCCATATCTTTTAAAAGATACAGGCTATCTGACCAACCAAGTCGATGCTTTACATTGCAAATTTAGTATAGAATAATTTTTGGTTCTTTAATTTTTTTTTTAGGTTTCTTTCTGTGGTCCAACCTACCACCCTCATATTTCCAGCAGAAGGAACATGAAATGAAAAAGGAAAAAAGCCCTTACAATATCATACGAGTTTCTCTACCAGCACATCATGCTGGTGTCCTAAAGAAGCCAGACAGCAGAGTTAACGGGTACAAGTTTAAACGTTGTCATCATATTTTATTCTGTGTTCAAAACCACTTTCGTGATTTCCCTAATAACACATGCAAAGTCTCCTTTGAAGTTATGGAAGAGGGGCGGTGTGTGTGTTTTCTATTTTTCTTTTTTCTAAATGTACCGATAGGCTGGCCTGGGCTGGGATTGGATAGAGAAGTTGAGAGAAAAGGCAGAAACCACCTGTCTCTTGAAGTTTGCCTGCTGGTCCCCTAGCAACTGGTTTCTTGTTTGAGGCATATTTGAGCCATATAGGGAAGACTCAGAATGCTGTAAAGGGGCACAGAATTACTCTCCCACTGGATAATGAAGTTGTTTTTAATTACAATAATATAAACACTACATTTAAGCAGCAGTGAAGGAAAGCAGGAAGTTTGCAGAATGAGCTTTTCTGAGTTACCGTATCTGCTGTTGTGACAAGAGGAGCAGGTGTGTGCTAGGGGCCACCATTGACTTCTGGCTTGCAGGAGCCTGAGTCGCTCATTCAGCTTTGTCCGTGCCCACAGGGGCCAGGCAGGCTGCAGTCACAAGGGAGTTAAACAGGCGAGACACTGGAGAGCAGAGCTGGGCCTCGAGGGAGGCCGCTGTGTGAACTTGTAGGAGGCATTCGCTCCTGGAGGTGCAAAAGCCGACGATGTGCTTGCATGGCTCTGAGAGCAAGACCACAGGCATTTAGCACCTGGGTCCCTCACCTGCCTTGCCCCAGGCCCCTCTGGAGAGGACATGTCCCACCTAGAGTGGCATCTGCAGCTGAATGCTGCCATGTGAAACAGAGCCCGGTTACTGGACCACTTGGTAAAGAAACAACAGAAATCTAGATTTTTTGGGGTGGAGAGATGAACTGAAATCTCCCATTAAAAAAATATTTCAGGCCGGGGGCGGCAGCTCACACCTGTAATCCCAGCACTTCGGGAGGCCAAGGTGGGTGGATCGCCTGAGCTCAGGAGTTCGAGACCAGCCGAGCAACGTGGTGAAACGTCATCTCTACCAAAAGCACAAAAAACTAGCTGGGTGTGGTGGTGCACACCTGTCATCCCAGCTAATTGGGAGGCTGAGGTAGGATGACTGCTTGAGCTTGGGAGGCAGAGGTTGCAGTGAGCTGAGATCATGCTACTGCACTCCAGCCTTGGTGACAAAGTGAGACCCTATCTCAAAAAAAAAAAAAAAATATATATATATATATATATATATATATATTTCACTCAAACCTCATTCATTTGAGACACAAGGGCCAAAATTTGAACCACAAGTCTTTGCTTAAATCTTTTTTGTTGTTTGTTTTTTTGAGACAGGGTCTTGCTCCATCATCCAGGCTAGATAACAGTGGTGCAGTCAAGGCTTGCTTCAGCTTCAACCTCCCAGGCTCAAGCCTCCCTAGCTGGGATCATAGGTATGCACCACCATGCCTGGCTAGCTAAAAAAAAATTTCTTTTTGTAGGGATATTGTCTCCTTATGTTGCCCAGGCTGGTCTCCAACTCCTGGGCTCAAGTGATCCTCTTGCTTTGGCCTCCCAAAGTGTTGGGATTGCAGGTGTGAGCCACCGTGCCTGGCCAGCTCTTTACTTAAATCTTTTCCTAAATGGTCTGGGTAAAAACAAAAAACTTTTCCTATTCTAGTTCTAAAGCCATGAATCCCACCCCTTTCAGGCAGGTAGGTACACTTGGCGTGTTCAGGGTGACAGAGGCTTTCCAGTTCTG
The DNA here is from genome assembly GCF_000001405.40 of Homo sapiens. Lineage (NCBI taxonomy): Eukaryota > Metazoa > Chordata > Mammalia > Primates > Hominidae > Homo > Homo sapiens. Next base: position 71,759,909 of record NC_000014.9, read on the forward strand.
CAGTGCAGGCAGTGAACCCTGTCCCACCAGACACAGGGGGATCCAGCTCTTGAATGCCTGTCCCCCACTGGAACACAGATTCTTAGTAGAGAACTGGGTGAGGGGAGTGGCAAAAACTGGATGATCAGGGTATGCCATCAATATTTATATAAATGAAGAATCCAGTAAGGGAAAATATAGCAAAGTGAGGGAATAGAGCGTGTGTATATATTTTGGGGGTGTGCAGTGGTTTACCCATGGGCGTAGCCAAACCTGTGAATCCAGATGCTTTTGGATAGGTCATGGAAGGCTAACTCGTCCATTGAGAAAAAGTTTAAAAAGCGGATACATTACAAAGGTCATATTTTTAATGGCACCAGAGAGTTACAGAAGCTATAATACAAGGATAAATGGACTAAATTTTCAGGAAGGGATAGAACTGTCCAGAGATAAGTGGACAATGCCTACCTGTTATTTCCCCCTAGGGCATTCTCTGATTCTGGGCTGGGCTAAGGATCAGAGCTTGACTCCAGCAGAGACCACCTGCTTGGGTGGGTATGGGGTATACAGTAAAATCAGCAAAAGTCTGAGTGGTCCTGTTGGGTTGGGCTTCCCAAAGCAGGGATTTTCAGAGCCTCAAATACATGTCTAGGTTCCCCCATGAAACATTTTCTGAATTCTGAGGCTGTCTGGGGGATTAAAGAGTCAGGTAGCATGTTTTTTTTTTTTTTTTTTTTTTTTTTTTTTTTTTTTTGAGACAAAGTCTCGCTCTGTCTCCCGGGCTGGAGTGCAGTGGCGCAATCTCAGCTCACTGCAACCTCTGCCTCCTGGGCTCAAGTGATTCTTCTTCCTCAGCCTCCTGAATAGCTGGGATTACAGGCACATGCCACCATGCCTGTCTAATTTTTGTATTTTCAGTAGAGATGGGGGTTTCACCATGATGGCCAGGCTAGTCTCGAACTCTTGACCTCAGGTGATCCACCCACCTCGGCCTCCCAAAGGGCTGGGATTACAGGCATGAGCCATGGTGCCCGGTCATAAAGAGTCACATAGCAAGTTTTATTATTTTATTTTATTTTGTTTTGTTTTGAGACAGAGTCTTGCTCTGTTGCCCAGGCTAGAGTGCAGTGGCACAATCTCGGCTTACTGCAACCTCCACCTCCCGGGTTCAAGTGATTCTCCTGCCTTAGCCTCCTGAGTAGCTGGGATAACAGGCGCCCGCCACCATGCCCGGCTAATTTTTTGTATTTCTTAGTAGAGACGGGGTTTCACCATGTTGGCCAGGCTGGTCTTGAACTCCTGACCTCAAGTGACCCACCTGCCTCGGCCTCCCAAAGTGCTGGGATTACAGGTGTGAGCCACGGCACCTGGCCTTGAGTCACCACACCTGGACTGCACGTTTTAAAATATAGAGTGAAATATCCTATGGTCTGGAGGTGTCTAAGAAATGAAAATGACCAGGCGGAGTTGAAATGAAAACAAAAAGGCAACAGATGAAAACTACAGGATGCTTGGTATGTTGACACAGATTCTACCAGCCCTTTTACCTAGGAGCTAATTCTGGGAGCTGCTACAGTGTAAGAATCCAGGCTTGCCCCTAAGCCAGCTGCTGGAAGACAGAGAGATTATAATATTTAGGAGAGACTAGGGTGATACCATTGAAGGCTAGATAGGCCTCAAACAGATAGTCATGCTCCGTCTCAAGAAATGTGCCAAAATTTGAATCTGTGGAAGGCTAAAAACCTAAGCTTTAAAACCCCTGAGCTGGGTGTCGTGGCTCACACCTGTAATCCCAGCACTTTGGGAGGCTGAGGGCAAGGCAGGCGGATCACCAGAGATTGGGAGTTTGAGACCAGCCTGACCAACATGGAGAAACCCCGTCTCTACTAAAAATACAAAATTAGCTGGGCGTGGTGGCGCATGCCTGTAATCCCAGCTGCTCAGGAGGCTGAGGCAGGAGAATCACTTGAACCCAGGAGGTAGAAGTTGTGGTGAGCCAAGATCGTGCCATTGCACTCCAGCCTGGGCAACAAGAGCAAAACTCTGTCTCTAAATAAATAAATAATAAAATAAAATAAAACCCCTGAAAGGCAGAACAGAATCTTTTGTAGTCTTTTAGGGCTAAGGACACAAGCACTTGCCAGGTTCTCAATTCATAACCCAGGAAGATCACATCCTAGGAACAGGGGTAAATGAGGTAGGCTGAGTCTTACCAAAACTCTTACTAAATTGTATCAAAGCCCCAGTTTAGCTTTGTCTCTCATCAGACGTGCCTAACAGAGGAAAGGAGGAAGGTAGTACCATCTGGAGCCTTTAGGTCTTTAAACAAAATGGCTGGCATAAAATAAGAAATTTCTAAACATGTAAAGAACCAGATCATGTCATAGATAACTAAGTTAAAAAAACTAGGCAATAGAAATACTCACAGATGGGAGAGATATTGCAGTTAACAGATAAGAGCTTCTAAATAACTATGATTAATATATTCAAGAAAATAGAAAAAAGATGCACAAAATAGATGACAGAATAGATAATTTCACCAGATATTTGGAATGAACTCTATAAAAATAATAATTGAATGGATATTCTTTTTTTCCCAATTCATTTTTTTTTCCTTGGGTAGTCTCTCGAGTCAGAGTAGACTCAGAGACTCCCCAAATGGACCTTCTAAAAGTATAATATCTAAAAATAAGCATTCAGTAAATTTGTTTAATGACAGATTGTGCATGTAGTTTACTAAGTAACTAGAAGGCAGGTTGTTAGAAAATATTCAAAACAAATATAGAGAAAAAATGGAAAAGTAAACAATAACAGCGTAAGAGACGTGGGATAACTAGAGTCTCAGAGAGAGCAGGAAGGGGGAATGGATAGAAGCAATATTTAAGGAGATTATAACTGAAAGACATTAACCCACAGATTCAAAAGGCTTAGTGATCCCCAAATAAGAAAGCACAAACTCGTTGAGTAGTGCCCTTCTATGCTGTTTTTAGATCTAGACTTGGAGGAATAGAAACATATTTATTTAGGGGTATCAACCGCCTTTAGTTAGAAATTCTTGATAAATGTCAAGAGACTCTATTCTCACCTTTTTCTGAAGGCACTTTGTACAGTGAAATCTTCCTATTTTGCCTTGCCTTTCCCTTTATATGGAATGATTCCTTTCATCTCCCTGCTGAATCTCTTTTTATCCTTCAAGACCTATTGGCATGGGATGCTTATTTCTGCTGCTTCTGTTTGGGTAGAGGGGAGGCCACTCCTACTATATTCACTAATTGGGAATAGTATTGCAGAAACACTTCTGATTTTTCTCTCTTCCTCTTGGCTTCATCCCCTTATGGAAAAAGGCATGATTTCTTTCACTGGAGAGCTGGAGAAGTCTAACAACCCCTCCCACATTCGTGCATCTCTATCAGGTGGGGCCAACATACTCACACGTCTCCCATACGTGGTCTCCCCTTCCCTCCCGTTCTTGGGCTCTATCTGTGCAAGGCAGTCCACACTCCTGCCTGCCACTGGCTGGGTAACAGTCTGCCCTGCACAGCCAGTTTCCTCTTGGCCTTCATATATGTGTAGTTCCTTAGGTCTAGATGATGAGAGAAATGTGAGAAAGACTTCTCTTTTTTTGCCCCTTGGCCCAAGCCTTATCTTTGAATCCAGGTTCACATGCATACACTATTTTAATCTTCATTGTATTTCTTTCTTAGTTTCTTCCAAGGCGATAAGAGTGAGGTTTATGATCACTCTTAAAACCCCCATAACCGAGGTGGGCAGATCACTCGAGGTCAGAAGTTCAAGATCAGCCTGGCCAACATGGTGAAACCCCATCTCTACTAAAAATACAAAAATTTGCCGGGTGTGGTGGCACACACCTGTAGTCCTAGCTACTTGGGAGGCTGAGGCAGGAGAATCACTTGAACCCGGGAAGCAAAGGTTGCAGTGAGCTGAGATCAAGCCACTGCACTCCAGCTTGGCAGACAGAGTGAGACTCCATCTCAAAACAAACAAACAAACAACAACAACAACAACAACAACAAAACCCAATCAGACACATTTCAAAAGTTGTATCTTCTAAGGATAATGTGCTTATCTCTTTGTGGAGCCCTTTATGATAGCACCATATTGTGGGGTAATTATTTCATAATCTAGACATCTCACCCACTAGGCTCAGGCTCCTTGAGAGCAGCGACCATGTCTTATTTTTGTTGCCTCACATCACCCAACATAGCACCCAGCACATCCTAGGTATTCAAGATTTGTTTAAGCAAGGAATTCTAGAATTGTACTGAATATCACTATGTGAGAATCACTAATGTTTGCAAATTATTCTGTACTCTGTAACTGTTTTCAATATCAGGTTCATCTTTGTTAATTCAGAATAACCAGGAGTGGGCTGTTTAAAAAGTTTAACTGTTTTAAACAAGACAAGCAGCACAACTATCTTCTCTAAATACCAATATTTTAAAATATTTTTACCTTTTTCAATGTAAAATTTCAAACATACAGAAGTATATAATTTTATGATGTGTATATCTCTGCTCTTTGAAATAGAATATCTTGAGCATAATACAATCTTTCAAAGGACCATGGCTCAGGACTGGAATTCGGTTTCTATAGAACAGAAAACCCCCACATGGCTATTGAGATATAAGTTGCCTTGCACCTGCGTTAAGTGATTGTTGTGATTTTCAAATTCAGGATTTTCTCTGTTCTCCCTTTCTTTTATCTGATACTCATCACATCTGCCAGGGGCTTACCTCCAACAACCAGTTAGCTACTTCTAGTTTTGCATTGGCTAGGAAATCAGGTAGCTAGGACTGGCATAACTATGTGTTAAAAAAGAGTAAAAAAGATTCCGAGTGAGAAACTCAGAATGGCTGAGCTTTGGAGTGTAGATCTCCCACGGCCACACTGATTGTCTACTCTGTTGGGTGAGATCCGTGTCTGTCACCCCCACACCGAGATCCCTCACAGGTGCTGGGGGCTGGGGGACGTGCACAAGAGAAAGGGAAAATCCTGGCTCTGAAGGAGGTGCAATTTTGTAAAGAGGTAACAAGCTTGGGGGGCGGGGAGGAGAGACAGTGAAAAGACAGCTGTTAAAACTACTTATGGGAGACAAATCTGATTTGTTGTGCCGTATTTATAGATGAGCTCACACTTTGAAGCAACTCTGAGTTAATTTACTTTAAACCTCTTAAATACAGTATGACAGTATAGTTTAGCACCCTGAACTGAGCAGTCAGCCTTCCTAGATTGAGGCTTTCATGTGTAAGGCTGGATTCAAAATGAAACTAGAGTCCTCTGGGGAATCTAACACAAAAGGAATTTGGTTTATTTTTCAAAGCAACACAATTTTTAACGGCGCTTACTGGGGAAATAAATTATTACCTTGGAAATCACTTAGATTGTTGTGGCCAATATTACATATATACAGATGTTGACTCCACTCCCAAATGGGATCTTTATAGGCAGTTTCTGTCAACAGTGTTATACACAAAGCAGGAAAAGTAAGGGAATAATGTGTGAATCTTTATTTCTCTTTTGTATTTACATTGTAAAAGGTTTTGTTTTATATAAAATTGATGTAGTTTCCTTTAAACTTTTCTTTGTAATTTACACTTGGTAAGTGTAGCTAGGTGTGGTTTTACTGAATTGAGAGAAGTTATTCTGTTTGTCCTATGAAGGGTCACTTGCAAGTCTCTCTTAGCAAATATAAAGAAAGTTGGTCTCATTGGTCTAGAATTGAGAATAACAAGATTCTAGAGTGTTTTGGGGGGCCTAGAAAATGCTGCCTTTTCCCATGGTATGAAATGAATTGATGTACTAGTCGCTGTGATTTCCTCCCTCCCTCCTTCCCTCCTTCCCTCCCTCCTTCCTTCCCTCCCTCCTTCCCTCCCTCCTTCCTTCCCTCCCTCCTTCCTTCCCTCCTTCCTTCCTTCCCTCCCTCCCTCCCTCATTCCTTTCCTCCCTCCCTCCCTCCTTCCTTCCCTCCCTCCCTTCTTTCCTTCCTTTTCTTCCTTTTATTGTGATATAATTCACATACTATACAATTCACCCATTTAAAAAGTATATGATTCAATGGATTGTACTATACTTACAGATATGTGCAGCCATCATCACCAGAGTAAGCTCTAAAACATTTTCATCACTTCAAAACAAACCAAGATCCCAAATCCTTTCTCTATTATCTCCTTATCCCCCTACCCCTAAGCAACCACTAATCTATTTCCTCTATAGATTTGCCTATTCTGGATAGTTCATGTAAATGGAATTTTATAATATGTAATCATGCACAACTTAGATGGATGGTTCTGGTTGAGGGTCTCCCATGAAGTTGCAGTCAAGATGTTTTCTGGGGGGTACAGTTATCTGACGACTTACTTGGAGCTGGAGGGTTTACTTCCAAGATGGCTCACTCACATGACTTTTGGAAAAAGACCTCAGTTCCCCACCATGTGGACTGCTCTATAAGGCTACTTGAGTGTCCTCACCATATGGCAGGACATATTGTCCTGCCATAACTCTGCCCAAAGCAAGTGAATAAGAGGAAATGAATACATTTTATGACCTAGTTCAGAAGTCAGACATCATCACTTTCACCAGCATATTCTATTTCTTAGACATAAGTCACTACACCCATACTCAAGGGGAGAGGAATAGCCTCTACTCCTTGGAGGGAGGAGGACCAAAGAATATGTGGACCTTTTTAAAAACCACTACAGCAAGCTTGGGGAATAAAGATCAATTTTAAAGTGCCACTTCTTTATATCAGCAATGATTAACTAGAAAACAGAACAATAATAACACACTATTCACCATAGCATCAAAAAAAATGAATCTAAGAATTAACCAAGAATACCAAGTCTTCTATAAAAGATATAAAAAAGATCTGATCAGTGGAGAGAGATTCCATGTTCTAGGATGGGACAGCATCATATTATGAACATGTCATTATCTCCTCACTCCAACTATCGAAACATTTAATGGTCTGACAACGAAGATCCAATTTGAACTTTTTGAGGATTTTGTGTTAAGCTTTATGTTAAAATTTATATGAAAAAACTCAAAGTCTAGAAATAGCTAAGAAAATTTTAATCAGTATAAAGAGGGGCACTTGTCCTATCAAATATAAAGTACGTCACAGGGCTATAATCAAAACAAAAAAAAGAGTGTGATAATGGTATGAGAACAGTCAAATGGGCTGATGGAACAGAAGAAAAAGTTCAGAAAGAAAGACCCAAATATATAATTGAGAAATTACTATAAGATAACTGGGATGCCACAAATTAACGAGGACTCATTAGTTTGTCTGACAAATGGTGCTGAGAAAAATGACCCCTACATGGTGAAAAACACAATTAGTTGCTTACCTAACATGACATAAAAATATGGATTCAAAATGGATAAAAGAGCTAAATAGGCCAAGCGTGGTGGCTCATGCCTGTAATCCCAGCACTTTGGGAAAATGAAGGGGGCGGATCACCTGAGGTCAGGAGTTTGAGACCAGCCTGGCCAACATGGTGAAACCGTGTCTCTACTAAAAATACAAAAACTAGCTGGGTGTGGTGGCGGGTGCCTGTAATCCCAGCTATTCAGGGGGCTGAGGCAGGAGAATCACTTGAATCCAGGTGGCGGAGGTTGCAGTAAGCTGAGATTGCGCCATTGCACTCCAGCATGGGCAACAAGAGCAAAACTCCATCTCAAAAAAAAAAAAGCACTAAATATAAAATATAAAGAACTAAATATTAAAAATAAATAAAAAGAACTAAATATTAAAAAGTTTAATATGAACTAAATATAAAAGGTTAAACTATGTAGGTAATAGGGAAAATATAGATAATATTGTTTTGAACTAAGCATAAACCTTAAAACAAAAATTATATTTGTTTAAATCATAATTATTTCTTTTTAACAAAATAAAGCATGAACACCTTTTGATAGAATGAAAGAAGGTGTTTGCAATGTTGAAAACTGAAAAGCAGATTGAAATCTAGAACAATGGTTCTCAAACTTCAATAGGCATTTGAGGATTTTGTTATCATCCTGATCTGATTCAATGGGTCTGGAAGGGAGCCATGGATTCTACATTTCTAACAAGCTCCCAGCTGAGTAGCAAGAATTTAGAATATATAACAAACTTCCCAAATCATTAGGAAATGACAGAAACTCCAATAGAAAAATGGACAAAGGTCATGAGCTCATGAGTTATACACAGGAAAACTCAAAAGGCCACCAAACATATGAAAAGACGCTCAAGCTCATTGATTATCAGATACAGAAAAATTAAAACACAAGATAATTATTTTACAGATATCAGAGTGTCAAAGATTAAAAAGCTTGATAATTATAATTATTGGCATAGATTTGGGGAATACAGAAAACATTCATGAACTGCTTGTGGGAGAGTGGACTAGAATAGCCATTTTGCAGAGCAGTCCAGCACTGTTTGGCAAAAGTAAATATATTCATATCATATGTACAGCCATTCTAGACCTGGTTATATTTTCCAAAAAATTTCTCACCTGAATTCATAGGAGACATAATTATTTATAAAGATGTTTACTAGAGTATAATTTATGGTGCAAGGATTTAGAGGCTCTCCGGAGGTCCAAAGCTGAGAAAAAATGGATAGATGTCTGCCTTAGAATATGTCCCATGCTTTTGAATCAAAAGACTTAATGTTGTTAAGATAACAATACTCATCTAATTGACCTACAAATTCAACACAATCCCTATCAAAATCCCTTTTAATTACCTTCTCTGTAGAAATTGACAAGCTAATCCTAAAATTCATATGGTGATGCAAAGGGCCGAAAATAGCCAGTTGTGTTGGACATGGGACTTTTGGCATAGTGGAATGAGGAGCTTGTAAATCTAACAGCTAATATCTTAATGACGAAACACTGAATGTTTTTTTCCTAAAATGACGAAGAAAACAAGGATTTTTTCACTTCTGTTCAACATTGTCCTGAAGGTTGTATTCAGGGTAATTAGGCATGCAAAAGATGTAAATGGCATCCATACTGGAAATGAAGAAATAAACCATCTCTATTGGCAGATGACATGATCTTATATATAGAAAATCTTCAATAATCCACTTAAAAATTACTGTAACTAATAAGCAAGTTCTGCAAGGTTTCAGGATATAAGGTCAACATAAAAATAAATTGTATTTTTATGCACTTGCATTTGCCATTCCCCAAACAAAATTAAGAATACAATGCCATTTATCATAGCATCAAAAAGAATGAAATACTTCATTCTTTTGTGAGAAATAAATTTCACAAAAGGAGTATAAAGCTTATACTCTATAAACCACCAACCATTGTGGAAAGAAATTAAAAGACCCAAATAAATGGAAAGACATTCCATGTTCATGGATGAGCAGATTTAATATTATTAAAATGCCCATACTCTTTAAATTGATCTACAGATTCAATGCAACCCCTATTAAAATCCCAGCTAGTTATTTTGCAGAAATTGACAAATTGATTCTAAGATTTGTATAAAAAATCAAGAGACCCAAAATACCCAAAGAATCTTGAAAAAGAAGAATGAAGTTGGAAAGTCCCTGATTTTAAAACTTACTACAAAGCTATAGTAATCAGGACAATGAAGTACTGATCAAGATAGACATAGATGGCAAGAGAATATAATTGAGAGATAAACTGTCAAATTTATAGTCAATTTTGTTTCGACAAGAGTGCCAAGAAGTCAGCAGCCTTTTCAATAAAGATTAAAGTGGATATTCACATGTCCAAGAAGTCAGTAGCCTTTTCAATAAAGACTAAACTAGATATTCACATGTAAAATAATAAATTAGGACCCCTGCCTCATACCATATACAAAACTCCAAATGGAATAAAGATCTGAATGGAAGAGCTAAAACTGTAAAATTCATAGAAGAAAACATAGGCATAAATCCTTGTGTCCTTGGATTAGGCAATCATTTTTCAGATATGACACCCAAAACATAAGTAACAAAAGAAAAAACAAATATATTGAACCTCATCAAAATTCAACTTTTTTTTTTTTTTGAGACAGTGTTTCACTCCCTCACCCAGGCTGAAATGCAGTGGTGTGATCTTGGCTCACTGCAACCTCTGCCTCCCAGGTTCAAGAGATTCTCCTGTCTCGGCCTCCCAAGTAGCTGGAATTACAGGTGTGTGCCACCGTGCCTGGCTAATTTTTGTATTTTTAGTTATTGAAATAACTATTTTATTTTTGTATTTTGTATTTTTAGTACAGATGGGGTTTCACCATATTGGCCAGGTTGGTCTCAAACTCCTGACCTCAAATGATCTGCCCGCCTCAGCCTCCCAAAGTGTTGGGATTACAGGCATGAGCCACCACACCTAGCCTTCTCTATTCTTATTAATAGGTAAGTCCTTTATTCTTCTGTATGAGGATTCAACATTATTCTTGGGCAGGCCCCATGCAGTTTTATATATACTGATAACTTCATAGAAGAGTCTGGCTTCTCATCTTAACTTCTTCCCCTGACTTTAGGAAGCTCAGCCAGCTACACTTCTCTCTTGCTGACCCCAGTCCTGGAAGAAAACAAGTTATTTTTAGCTTCCCTCCCTTTCTGAATGCAGTTTGGAAGTTGCCCCTTTTCTTAAACCTCCTCCCGCCTGGAACTGGTTTCTCTCTTGGCTGCTTCTCGCCAAGCCTAGACTCTCATAAGTTTTCTTTCCCTTGAGCGCTGTATCTGAGGCCAGATCCACCTTTGGATTAATTCCAAGTACCTTCTGCTTAATAATTAGCCCTTACCATCTCTGACAGACAAGGGGAAGAATCTCACATTGGTCCAACCCTGTCCCCAGATGTCTGGCTAGAGTCACATCTCCTGCCCCAGCCCAGAAGGGCTACCTTGTGCTTTCCAACACTGTTTGTTGCCCACAAATACATTTCTTACCCATTAATAATTTGCAGACTCTCTCTCACCTCTCTTACTGTTTATATGGATTTGTTCTTACCTGCAACTAGACATACATTTCTAACACCCCAGAACCAGAGAGTTACTCATCACAGCAGGCTGAAAACCCCAGATCTGTTCTTGGAGCCACCGCACCCAGCCTCTGACTTTGCTTTGACCTTTTGGGGATGATTTACCTGGGTGACAGGAGGGAGTAGGTTGATATCAATCATTTAGATGCAAAAAACCAAACAAACCAACACAAAACCACTGCTAACCTGAGGCACTGGAGAACTCTAATGAAAATCTCTTTAAAGAGAATTATGAAAGGCAGTGATTATCTTGCTAAGTAAAATCCCTATTTACATTGTCTTCCACAGTAGAAAAAGTTTTCTCTGAATAGGCCAACATCCTTTACATTTCATTTGGATGAAAAAACATTAGAATATATAAGATAAATGAGTAAAAATGGCTCTTCTAATTAATTTATTTATTTGACACTGAGAATAATAGCTTCCAATACAAGTAATACTATGCGATGTCTTGAGCCTATGGAGTTAGACATTCGGTTATATGATTATCAGTGTTTATTTGCATTCCCCTTTGTGTGTTCAAATCTTAATTTTATAGATTATGTTACATTTAGAGATTTATATCATATTATTTTTAATGCAAATGTAAAGAAGCACAGTGTAATTAAGCCATGAGGGATTCTTTATGGACTGACAACAATGGATCCTGTGCTCCAGGATCACAAAGTCCTAAAGACAAATGGTGGGGCTGAGCAAGCTAAGCCCTGTTAAAGACATGAGCTCTCAGCAGGGGGGTGGTGGCTTATGCCTGTAATCCCAGCATTTTGGGAGGCTGAGGCAGGCAGATCACTTGAGGTCAGGAGTTTGAGACCAGCCTGGCCAACGTGGTGAAATGCTGTCTCTACTAAAAATACAAAAAAATTAGCCGGGCATGGTGGTGCATGCCTGTAATTCCAGCTACTCGGGAGGCTGAGGCAGGAGAATCGCTTGAACTCAGTGCTACTGTGGGGTCCTTGCTCCCAGAGCTCCCAAGATGGTGGCGGGCCACTTCCAAAATGGTGGTTGGCCACTTCCAAGATGGTGGCAAGCCTTGTGTTCTCTGACCTGGGGTTCTTGGCCTCACGGATTCCAAGGAATGGAATCTTGGGCCATGCGGTGAGTGTTATAGCTCTATTAGAAGCCGTGGGTCATGGAAGAGAACCATGGAACCCGGTAACTAGTGTTCAGCTCGATTAGGATGAACCTGGGCAGTTAGCCGTGCAGGAACAATGGCAAACCTTTAGCCCTATCGGGAGCGGCAATGGGCGCCTCGCTGGATCAGGAGCACAGCGGACACCCTGCCAGATCTGGAGGGATGGAAGTCAGAGGCGGGTCTGCGGCGGCGGCAAACAGCAGTGGTGGATGGCAAGCGAAAGCTCAGCTTGAGCCATAACAAACACGGACCAGAAGAGAGTGCAGTTGCAAGATTTAATAGAGTGAAAACAGAGCTCCCATACAAAGGGAGGGGACCCAAAGAGGGTAGCCGTTGCTGGCTCGAATGCCTGGGTTTATATCCCAATCATTGTCCCTCCTGCTGTGCTCTCATGCAATAGATGATTGGCTATTTCTTTACCTCCTGTTTTTGCCTAATTAGCTTTTTAGTGAGCTCTCTTTACTACCTGATTGGTAGGGTGTGAGCTAAGTTGCAAGCCCCGTGTTTAAAGGTGGATGTGGTCACCTTCCCAGCTAGGCTTAGGGATTCTTAGTCGGCCTAGAAAATCTAGCTAGTCCTGTCTCTCACCGGGAGGTGGAGGTTGTAGTGAGTCAAGATCGCACCACTGCAGTCTAGCCTGGGTGACAGAGTAAGGCTCCATCTCAAAAAAAAAGGACAAGAGCTCTCTTTCTACCTAAGGAAAATTTGGGGGCCATGTAGTAGCCTTGCAGCCAAATCAAACAACTTTGGATTTCTTCCTGTTCATGTCCTAAGCCTCCTAATTATTTCTCATCCCGGGAAGGAAAGGGAAATTAGATGTTCTTCTCAGGAGGAAGCTGGAATGTGATCTTCAGCCCAAGTTAGCTGTGAGAGGGGATTCTGCGGTGATTAGAAGAAGATAGGGAAGGGCAAGGCAGCCAGGCCAACAGCCCACCCTCAGCCTGGAGGCCACCTCAGGCCTGAGGCTCAGGGAGCTGATGACCGAAGAGAAGAGGTGGAGCGCTGGGTTCCTGCAAGATCTAGACGTGGCTTGGAAACAGCAGCATCTCCGGTGGAGGACAGAAAGACAGCATATGTGGGGCCAGCTTTGAACCCAGCAGCCAGGACCCCAGAGAGCACAATAAAGATGAGCTTTACTGGGTGCCTCAGAGATGGATGCAGGAAGTGAGGAGGCAGAGCAGATGCGGCTCCCTGGAGGAGGGGCTGGAGATTTGCGAGCCTGCCGGCAGCAGGGAGAAACATCCTAGTCACAATAAAAAGCAGGTGGAGAGGCCCTTGACAAAAGGGCAGTGGAGCTGTATTTTTGGATTTCCAGAAGCTCCTTTGACATGCAAGGGCAGTGGGGTGTGATTTTGATGTTGACTCGTATGTTAATTCCCAGGAACCCCTCTTTGTCCTGTCTTTTCTAAGAACATCGGCATCAGTCAGACGTTTGTTCTCAGGGGAGAGATTTTGGAATACAGTACAAACGGCAAAATAAAAACCCCACCTGTTTCTTGGATTTTAAATTTCCAAACAGACTTTTACATTTCCACCTGGGAGGAAAACTGGCTTCAATACCAAAGCCAAAGTCTGCGCCATACACAGCAGGCCTGGAAGGAACCTGGTGCTGTAACTGCCATGACTCCGGCCCTAAGTTTGTTCAGGATTCTGCAGGCAGAGGAGAGCTGGGGGAAATGACAGCCCAGGTGCTGGAGTGTGGCCCTGTGTTCTCCCTCATACCCCACTTCTCTGGGGGCTGAGTCTGGGGGACAGATCCTCTTTAAGTTCAGGAATCCAGGGGGAGAAGAGACATGTACTTCTGGTCCATCTGGTACTCTGTGAGCCTCATAGATGTGATGAGAAGGCAGGCAAAGGTGAGAAGGTGGCAGGGTAGGGAGGGCTTAATGCTGGCCAGCCCTGAGTCCCCTTGGCCCACAGAGGCCAGGGCAGGCAGCCAAACCTGCAGGATGTACTTGAGAAGGTACAGATGAGAAAGGAGAAAGGAAGAAACCAGACAGGCAGGCAGTTAGGGTGGGTCCTTGGCTGAGTTATTTCAAACAAAAGAACAGCCTGCAGGCACAGATAAGGGAAATTGCACAGGGGGGCTTGTCTAAGACATGCTCACAGCCGCACAGATAAGAAAGGCTACACAGGTGACTTGCCCAGACATGCCCTCAGTGGAAAATTCCATCCCCTGAGACATGTGCAGTAAGAGGAACAAAGCAATATGGAGTAACTCAAGCTAAAGGTCTGCATGAGCACTAGGAGGATGGGGTGGAGCTACCAGAAATGTGTGCCTTATGCAAATAAAATACCCAGCCCTCATCAATTTCTTATAAAGCCTTTGCATTCAACTGTAAAAACAGCAACCCTCTTCCAGGTCTCTTCTTCGCAGCAGAGAAATTTCTTCTTTTGCTTTTTAAACTTTGCTCCAACCTCACCCTTGGCGTCCATGCTCCTTAACTTTCTTGGTCATGAGACAAAGAACTCTGGATACTACCTCAGGCAATGACAGACTGCTACATTGTGGTGCATTGGCGAGACTGTAACACAGACATGAGCCTTGGTGTGGGAGAGAAAGGTGGATTCACAGCTAGCAATAGAAATGGGAATGGTCAGACACCTGAAGTTGGTCTTCTGTGCAGGATTCTGAGTGTGGAGGACAAAAGATGAAAACCCTTTGGGATTGATGGTTTTCCACATGCTTCTCCTGGAATCCGGAGTTCCAGATGTTTATTTGTTCACCTGTTTGTTATTGGCTTGGTTATTATTTCAATCATTCATTTCTATTGATTTCAGCACCTACTATATTTCTAGAGTTTCAATCTTCTATTTGCTACCAAGCTAGCTCTTTCTAGCTTTAAGAGATGCTCCCTTGTCTCATCCTGGTGTGAAAGGAAAATAAATCTTGGCCCCCCCAAATCACTAAGATAAAGGGAAAATTCAAGCTGGGAACCTGCCTCCCATTCTATTCAAAGTCACCCCTCTGCTCACTGAGATAAATGCATATCTGGTTGCCTTCTTTGGAGAGGCTAATCAGAAACTCAAAAGAATGCAACTGTTTGTCTCTCACCTATCTATGACCTGGAAGCCCCCTTCCTGCTTCGAGTTGTCCTGCCTTTCCAGACTGAACCAATGTTCATCTTTCATATCTTGATTGATGTTTCATGTCTCCCTAAAATGTATAAAACCAAACTGTGCTCTGACCACCTTGGGCACACATCGTCAGGACCTCCTGAGGCTGTGTCACAGGCGTGCATCCTCAACCTTGGCAAAATAAACTTTCTAAATTAACTGAGACCTGTCTCGGATATTTGGGGTTCACACTGGAAAGTGGGGATCAGGTCTGAGTGGTCCTACCCATATGCTTCCCTGTTTTTGGATAACCTGGTCATACTCACTTTCAAATGGAAAGGTGAAGATTTGAGAAATTTCAAACCATGGAAGAAGAACCTTTGTGTGGACATTTTGAAGAGAAGGGAAACGTATGTTATCTCTCTTTAGAGGTTTCTACAGCTGTGAAGTTACTTATGAAAAGATGTGAAGGCACATCTAATTTTCTGAAGTCAAAGACATTTAAATTCTTACCTTTCAGACAAATGGACATTTAACTCCTTTATGGATCTCAAGGTCACAAGGGCTCAGAGAAAACTTCCAACTTCCTTTTAACTACGAGTTCCTTGACTTTTCTTAAGCTTCTTGGTCCTGAGCCTTTTGAGCAAATAAGGCAATGGCTGTGTCCCAAGCATATCTAAGAAATAAAGACTTCACACATGGGGACTCAGGAAGAGCCATAGAAATGTAAGCAAAGTAGCAGTTCCCTGAGGCTGTTGAGAGCTGCTTTCTTCAAGCTCCTTTTATTCTTAGGCTTCTCCAGGGGAAGGATGGGCAGTAAGCAGATTTATAGACCATACCTTAGGTGGATAATCAACCTGACATTGTCAGAAAAATCTATTAACATAGCAGTACACACTGCAGACATTTCTACCTCCCACTTGTAGAATACAATACAAGGTTATTTTCTACACAAAGAAGAGTATATCATTTTCAATATTTCTTTTCTTTTTTCTTTTTTTTTTTTTTTTTGAGACAGAGTCTCGCTGTGTTGTCCAGGTTGGAGTGCGGTGGCTCCATCTCAGCTCACTGCAAACTCCGCCTCCTGGGTTAAAGTGATTCTTCTACCTCAGTCTCCTGAGTAGCTGGGATTACTAGCGTGTGCCACCATGCCCAGCTAATATTTATATTTTTAGTAGAGATAGGGTTTCACCATGTTGGCCAGGCTGGTCTCGAACTCCTGACCTCAAATGATCCGCCCTCCTCGGCCTCCCAAAGTGCTGGGATTACAGGTGTGACCCACCGTGCCTGGCCTCATATTTATTTTCTTACTGTAAAGAAAAAGAGAAGTGACTGAGATATTTTGCCTGTGAAGGTGCATGGATGTCTGGGCTAGTCACTGTAGTGGTTGGAGCAACAGTAATGAAGCCAAGGGTTTAGTCTGTCCTTAAACCTGTTAGCTTCAGTGTCTGGCCACAAATAATCCTCCTAATGTGACTTGCAAATGCCAAGCATTGGTCCTGAGAACTGGTGGAGAAGTACAGATGGCTCAGTGTGTATCTATCACCCCCAGTGGAGAAGTAATACTGAGCACATGCTGATAGCTCATTCTCGGCATGGACAAATGGCTTCCTTTCTGGTTGTGTTGAAAGTCGAAGGTTTTTCTTATTATAAAAAGATGCTCTTTAAATTAATGTTTGCTTTTGCTCTGATGTGAGAAGAGGAAAAAAAAGTGTGAATTGCAAAGACCCTTTCCAGCTGAGATGAAACAAGAAAGATAGGCGACAAGCTGAGAGGGCATCTGTGGTTTCTGTTTGGCCACAGATCCTGGGGTAGCAGAAAGACACACTCATTCCATTACAGCGGTGATGGCGCAGATTCAGAAAGGAAATGCAGACCTCCAAGGTCATGGACTTTCTCTGAGAAGAAAAAAGAGCTAATGAAGGAAGCCACAAAGAGATGGCAAGGGAACCAAGGCAGGAATGAGTCTGTCGATAGCAATTTCCATTGGCCTTTGTTATGCGCAAGACAAAGAGGCGACATCTAAGCCTGAGTCCTTCAAGGACAATCATAAACCAGCAGAGCTTTCCCAAGCTTCTGCAGTAGGTTCACAGATTAACTGGGTCAGTGTCTTATTTGCAACTCAGCTGGTGAATGATTGTGCTGCCCTTCAGACATTGTTTGACAGTTTGTTCTCTGTGCTTTGAGGAATCCATGAAGACAATTGGTAAGTTGAAGAGTGCTAATCAGAGAATAGTTAGCGTCAGCTGAGAGCGGATCTCTTGGGAAGTCAGGCAGAGCCTGAGCCTCAGCCTGAGCAGGTCCATACATTTGATTTTGGTTTGTGTGTTCAGAGGTGAAGAGGCCCAAAGTACTGACTCACACTAGTCAAACTGACAAGACACAAATGCAAAAGCCTCAGTAACAATTCACTAATTTGGAGCAAGAAACATAACAGTCAACATACTATATCAGCTAATTAGCACGTTGGCTCTCTGGAGGGATAGAAAACTGAAAATGCCTATGAAGCAAGGTAGGTAAAGAAATGAATTGAGCAGGTGTGAGGTGAAAGGGAGTTGTTGGGAGTGGGCTGAACAGGGGACTCTATTCCCCTTCTAAAATATGCAGCCAATATAATCTCCACCTAATTCTTGCTACTCAGGGTTTGATGTGGCCAGACCTTCTGATTTTTCAGAAGTTGGAGATTCAGATTTATAGGAGTCATTTCCTGATTTATAAATATTAGCAACTAATTTATAAAAGTTTTAAAAATCATTGTGTAAGACAAACCTGCCAGAACATTTCTCATTTGCAACCATGAATTACAAACAAAAGGCTGCTTTGGGAGCCAATTTCAGGACAAGGTGGGGTAGTTGGTTGACTTCAGTGGTTACTGTCATCAAACCCACAGCCTGATGCATCTGCTTCCAATACTGAAGACACATCAGACAGGAAGGGCAGAAGCCGCCTCTTCAGCAGTCGCATTTGTCTCCAACCTCCTAGCTTTCATTAAAACCACCAATCCCTCTGCTAGCACAGGTTCTTTGTTTACATTGTGGAGTTTGCTAACTAAGCCTCCACCTTTCTTTTTTTTTTTTGAGACGGAGTCTCGCTCTGTCACCCAGGTTGGAGTGCAGTGGCACAATCTCGGCTCACTGCAAGCTCCACCTCCCGGGTTCACGCCATTCTCCTGCCTCAGCCTCCCAAGTAGCTGGGACTACAGGCACCCGCCACCATGCCCGGCTAATTTTTTGTATTTTTAGTAGAGGCGGGGTTTCACTGTGTTAGCCA
Source organism: Homo sapiens (assembly GCF_000001405.40). NCBI lineage: Eukaryota > Metazoa > Chordata > Mammalia > Primates > Hominidae > Homo > Homo sapiens. Next base: position 71,778,354 of record NC_000014.9, read on the forward strand.
GGATGGTCTCGATCTCCTGACCTCATGATCCGCCTGCCTCTGCCTCCTAAAGTGCTGGGATTACAGGCGTGAGCCACCGCGCCCGGCCAAGCCTCCACCTTTCTATACATCTTCTGGGACTGCATTCTCACTCCCGAATTAAGTTTTACAAATCCTTTGGTTTTTCCTAAGGATCCTCCTAAAAACCCTGCATTGTGTCCACACAGAAACACAATCTTCTCCATTAAGGATTGATTTTTCTTGTTTAATTTCCCAAAGGTAACAATGACAATATTATAATATATTCAAGAAATGTTTATTGAGCAGCCACATGGAACTATTTTTAACGTTGGATGTATTAGAAAACAAGCCAGAACTCAAGGAACTTCTTTTTTTTGTTGTTTTTTTTTAGACAAGGTCTGGCTCTATCACCCAGTCTGGAGTGCAGTGGCGTGATCTTGGCTCACTGCAACCTCTGCCTCCTGGGCTCAAGTGATCCTCCCACCTCAGCCTCCTGAGTAGCTGGGACTACAGGCACACACCACCACACCCAGCTAATTTTTATGTTTTCTTTTGTATAGAAATGGGGTTTCACCATGTTGCCCAGGCTGGTCTCGAACTCGTGAGATCAAGCTATCTGCCTGCCTCAGCCTCCCAAAGTACTGGGATTACAGGCATGAGCCACTGTGCTCGGCTGGAGCTTACTTTGTAATCATTGCTAACATTTATCAAGCTCTTCCAATGTGCCAGGGTCTGTGTGAAACATTTTACGTAATTATTTAATATTCAGGCCAACTCTACAAAGTCAATATTATAATGATCTTTGTTTTATGGTTAAGAAAACTGTGGTTATTCAAGATGAAGTGACCCCACCTCTGCTCTCCCAAGAGGCACCATGGTTCCCTATCTGTCAACCTCAGTATCTAACTAGGTAGTGATGACACAGCTCCTTCCCACAGTGCTGCCGTAGGAGCAGCCTTACTGGATGGTAAGCGACTTTTTTCTGATGGAAATTCCACATATGTGTTGAAGATCTTTCAAATTTATAACTTATTAATAATTATTGAGACGCCATTTATTGAGTGCTTACTTTGTGCTAGCTTCCATGCTAAGTACTTTATATACTCTATCTAATGAGATCAAAGCTATCCTCAAAGCTATCATGTGAAAGAGATATTACTACCCCTTTTTAGAAGAAACTGGAGCTCAGAGAAGTCAAACTTGTCCAAGGTTACCCAAAGGGTCATTGCACATCCCTGCGGGGGAGGGACCTTGCGGTTCATGGTGTTAGGCAGTACATGGTCTATTCAGTCGGTCACACAGTTAAAACATGGTGGCTGTGAGAACTGCCCCAGGGCAAAATCAATGAGATTGGAATACAACTGAAGGGACTGATGGAGGGGAAGAAAACTGCCAAGGAAAGATTTCAGAGAAACCCCCTAAGAAGTGGGAGATGCCATCAGCATGTGGGAATAACCTCTCTGACATCATAATTTTGCCCATGGTCAATACTACCGGCTGGAAGGGCTGCCTCAGCTAATAACCAGCCACAAATACAAACCGCTGGTTGCTTCACCTGCAAGGTCATTAGAGTCTTCCTGAACTGTTTGAATTGTTCACCTTCTTTGATCTGACTGACTTGAGAATAGAATGGACTTTCCTGATTGGTATTTTGACATCGTGTGAACAAGGTGAAATAAATAATTGGTTTTCAGATTCAGAAAGTCTAGGTCAAGATAGGGCTCTTTTCTTGAACAAGATGGGGAAAGAAGAGTCAGAAAGTTATGCACATGAGGCTTTCCCTGTTTATGGTGTGTCCTATTGTCCTAGCTGGGTTTGGGGAAGGAAGCATTTTCTTAAGGTTTAAAAATAAACAAGTAAGTAGGATGTTATCAAAAGCCATAAACTAAAAGATTCCCTGGAGAACAGCCAAACAGGATTCTTATCAAGGTGGGGCAGCCTTCCTGAGCAACTTGTCAAATCAGCAGCATGTCAGAACGGATGGCAAATGGAACAGGCAGCCTGGGAATTCTGAAATGTCAGATCTGGAAGGTGCCTTAGGGACCAGCTAGGCCACTGCCTTTGTTTTATAAATGAAGAGAAAACTTAAGGACCATAGCGATAGAGAGACTTAATCCCAGGTCACACAGCTCATGATAAAAATTAGGGTGATGGTTTCCGGAAGCTTCTGCTCTAAGCCAGAACAACATTTCTGCTATCCTTCAGGGTTATTTGGTACTAATTGGGGTTTTGAAATAAATAGTTGATTTATTAATGTTACAAATTCAGAAGCTTAGTTTTTCTCTAAACTTTTATGTTCTATATATGTCTTATATTTTTATTTATCAAATAATCCTATTTAACCCAGTCAATACAATTCTTTTAAATCTTTTAAACATTATTTATAAAGGTAATATATCCCTTTTTATTTTAAAAGCTTTTAAAATGTCTAAACAAAGTAGCAGTTTTCCCAAGTATTTAAACACAGCTAACAAATCTAATAAATCTAACAGGATTATCAGTGACTGTCAATCTCAAATGTTTCAGTAAAGTTGTAAAATTCTCTCTCTCTCTCTCTTTCTTTTTTCCCAAGACAGGGTCTCACTCTGTTACCCAGGCTGGAGTGCTGTGGCGTGATTACAACTCACTACAGCCTCTACCTTATTGCCTTATAAGCTTCTGAGGCAACACCCTGTTGTCCCCAGACAACTCGTCCACAGGTCACATACAACCAAACATGATGTCATCGTTCTTCCATGGAAAATCTTTTTAAAACAATGAGATTTCTGATATATATATATATTTTTTTTCCTTTTTTGAGAAAGGGTCTTGCTCTGACACCCAGGCTGGAGTACAGTGACATGATCATAGCTTACTGCAGCCTCAAACTCCTGGGCTCAAGAGATCTCCTCGCCTCAGCATCCCAAACAGCTAGAACTACAGGTGTGTGCTTCCGTGCCTGGCTAATTTTAAAATATTTTTGTAGAGACAGGGTCTCACTGTGTTTCCCAGGCTGATCTCAAACTTCTGGGCTGGAGTGATCCTCTTGCCTCTGCCTCCCTAAGCACTGGGATTACAGGTGTGAACTACTGCGCCTGGCCTGATATCTGATGTATCTTAACACTTCATATGAATATGAAGTTTGGAAGGCATACTTGGATGGCCCAAAATAAAATTTATGGCTGGGCATGGTGGCTCATGCCTGTAATCCCAGCACTTTGGGAGGCTGGGGGCAGGGGCGGATCACCTGAGGTCGGGAGTTTGTGACCAGCCTGGCCAACATGGTGAAACCTGGTGAAACCCTGTCTCTACTAAAAATACAAAAATACAAAAGTTAGCTAGGTGTGGTGGCGGGCACCTGTAACCCTAGCTACTCAGGAGGCTGAGGCAGGAGAGTCACTTGAACTCAGGAGGTGGAGGTTGCAGTGAAGATAGAGATCATGCCATTGCACTCCAGCCTGGGCATCAGAGCGAGACTCTGTCTCAAAAAAATAATAATAATGATACAAATTAAAAATTAAAAAATGAAAGTTATGTGATGTGCCTCCATTTGACTCTGGAAGTTCAATTTTACTTTTGAGGTTCTTAAAGAGCTTTGCAGTCACCCTTCAGAGAAGCAGAAACTCAAATATAACAGGAAGCCCAAGTGGCTTCTGGCCAGGAGTAACCTACCATACATGTACTAGGAAGCTGTGAACAAAGAAAATAAGCAACGGGGCCTGGTGCGGTGGCTCATGCCTGTAATGCCAGCACTCTGGGAGGCTGAGGCGGGCAGATCACCTGAGGTCAGGAGTTCGAGACTAGCCTGGCCAACATGGTGAAACCCCCTCTTTACTAAAAATACAAAAATCAGCTGGGCATGGTGGCAGGCGCCTGTAGTCCCAGCTACTTGGGAGGCTGAGGTAGGAGAATCGCTTGAACCTGGGAGGTGGAGGTTGCAGTGAGCTGAGATAGCACCATTGTACACACGCTGGGTGACAAGAGCAAAACTCTGTCTCAAAACAAAACAAAATACAAAACAAAACAAAACAAAAAAAAGCAAGAAAATAAACAATGGTTTCAAATATTAATCCCAAATCAAAACTCACTTTGAATTGCAGGTGTTGATTTGTAACTGAGCTGCTTCTCTCATGAGTGTACCCCTGGGTGTGAGGCAGCTGGGGCTGAATGATTGAACCAGGCTTACTGAGTCTCCTGTCCAATATGGGGTTAGCCTGAATTTACTTTATATATATATGATGTGTGTATATATGTATATATATATGGTTATATCTTTCTAATTAAAAGAGATTAAACAGAAGATCCTTTAGGTACTTTTTCATGCAAATATTTAGCTGAACATGACAAAATTTCTGAGGGTGTATAGTAGATCTTACAAACTTTTACTACTCCGGTAAAATCCAACCTGTAGAACCTGTAGACAGGGTTGTTTTAATCCATCAGTATGGGCCTGTAAAGTGTTTTTTTTTTAAAAAAGAAGAACCAACATTTAGGAGTGGATGGAAGACATAAATATACGGATTCTTGGTCATAGAAATACTTGACTACAGAAGCCAATGTTCCCACATAGTAACAATGATATAGGAGCTAGAAAGAAATTATTTGGGCAGGTAGTGAGGGTCAAAGAGCCCTCAGCAGAATTTCCCTTTTTAACAAAAAAGAAGCCCCCCAAATAATTTCCTTTCTGATAAAGAGCAGCCTGAAAGATGGAGCTGCAGACATAGATAAGCTGGAAGCTTGCATGGGTGAATGTTGGCAGCTGTGCCAATAGAAAAAGGCCACCTGGGGGCGAGGTATGTTCAACATGGAGGCTCCATCTTCCCTTTTCTTTGTCACCACGTGTACAGTAAAGAAACAGGCAACATGGCATTGGCCAGGCAGAGAGCCCATCTGCATAATAAAACATTAGGGTGTGGGGTGGCCAGATTTTCATGTCCTATGCAAATGGCACACCTAGCCCTAACCAGTTTTTTGTGCCCTATGCAAATGGCACAGCTGGTCCAACCAATCTTTCATGCCCTATGTAAATCAGACACCACCTCCTCGAGCTCATCTATAAAACCCCTTGCATTCCACTGCGGAAGCAGCAACCCACTTCCCCAGGACCTCTTTCTGCTGCAGAGAGTTCTCTTTCTTTCACCTATTAAACCTCTGCTCTTAACCTCACTCCTTGTGTGTCCACGTCCTTGATTTCCTCAGCATGAGGCTGCAAACCTTGGGTATCACCCCAGACAAATGACATCACTTCAACAAGGCTGGTGCTGGGTGGCAGCTGCCCCACTGGACGCACTCTCCAGTCCTTCCTAGTTCTTATTATTCTCTATTTTCTACCTGACATTGTAAATTGCTGCTTATCATCACACTCACCTTGTTATTTTTCTTATAGAAGCATTAAGAGAAAGTAGCATAATCCTATCAAAAATGGAAAAAGACCAAAGGGGCTGTGTATTTCAGGAAGTAAGAGAGAGCATATTTCTATGTGAAAATAAAGGCCATTCCTATGTTTTTAACACACAGAGCTTTCTTAAACCCAGCCAGCTTCGTGCACTGACTTGGCCTCTGGGGTTCCTGTTGGCATGCGAATATGCCATCCCTGGGTAAACTATGCTTGGGGTTAAAACCTTTCCATTGGCTTCCTGACAATAATGATTGTCAGCATGCTATAGCCTATGGCAATACTCGTGGCATAGAAGGTGAGTGAACTTTGCAAACTTCAGCAGCCACCCTTTTTAGTTTCTATTTCTTAAACTCCCTAAAGGACTAGAGTCAGCCTTCCTTTGTCACGAAACTTTCAAGCCAGTTGCACTAACTCCACTTCACACAAACATAATTGTCTTCTCTGCTAGCTTTTCCTTTTCCAATCTTCCTCGAAATAATTGGGTTATTGCACTAGAAGTGTTCCTGGTGAAGAGAGACTTAAAAGCTAATAGAGATATGTAATACAGAAGACTCAGCATTCCCCTAGGAAATTACTGTGGAATATACTTGAAAGGGAAGATATTAAAACTAAGATAATGTTGAATGAGATTGAAAAGGAAACACTGTGATTGGGGAAGGGGAAAAGAAAGTAACTGGAGGGATTTCTTGATTTTAAAATTCATTCTATTAGAGTGATATTGTCAGTTTAGAGAAGGCCTTATTCTTAGCTTTTGATTAAAAGATCAGAAGAAGAAATGAATAGCTCAAACTTCAGTATGTGCAGAAATAGCATTATGGATCACTCATTGTAAAGGGACAAGAAAATTAAGTGTTTTATTGCAGTGATGGAAATAGCGTTGAAAAATAGCACATTTTTCAGAAAATGAATCTGGTCTACCTAAATTCAGAGGTTTGAGAAGAATGAAAACATTACGTGCTAGAGAGTCACTGTGATATTCTTTGCTTTTACAGGACTGCTCTCTGGAGTGGGAACCTTATATAACCAATGCAATGAATAAAAAAAAAATTGACTTCTCAGGTGTAGCCCAAAGCAATGTATTGGTGGCCCCAATCCCAGCTCCGGGCTCAACTCTGCTCTGGGGAGCTACTTTCCTGACTCTTGGATGAAATCTAGGGCAGGCCTCAAATTTTTTGGTTACTCTCAGATAAGAAAAAAAATCTGGTGATATCAAGTCACAAAATCAGTTGCATCTTAGCAGTTAGGATTAAGTAGTCAAATCTCCAACTGTGTTTAGGTAAAGGTTCTCTTCTTCCTTAGCTCAGACCTGTTTCAAGAAAAATGATCTGTGATAATTAATTTTATGTATCAACTTGACTGGGCTAAGGGATGCCCAGCTATCTGGTAAAACATTATTTCTCAGTGTACCTGTGAGGATGTTACTGGAAGAGATTAGCATTTGAATCAGTAAACTGAGTAAAGAACACTGCCCTCACCAAGGCCAGTAGGCATTATCCAATCTTTTGAGGGCCTACATAGAACAAACAAGTAAGATAATTTTACTCTTTTTGGAGGAGGGAAGGGAAGGGGAGGGGAGGGGAACTTTGCTCTTTCTTTTTGAGCTGGGACATCCATCATACCCTGCTCTTGGACACTGGTGTTCTTGGGACTTTGGACTGGGACCTATACCCTTGGCTTTGCTGGTTCTCAGGCCTTTGGGCTTTGGAACTACACTGCTGGCTTTCTTGGGCCTCCAGCTTGCAGCCTGCAGATTGTGGGACTTCTTGTCCTCCATAATCACGTGAGCCAAACCCTTATAATCTATATCTGTATCTAGTATGTGTCTATATATGTTTATAGGACATATATATGTATACATAGGGTATATATGATATATATTAGATACATAAAGATATATAAAATTATTATAAGGTATTGGCTCATGGGATTATAAAGGCTGAGAAGTTTCATTACATATATATTTTACATATATATATATACACACACACAGTCATGTCTCACATTATGATAGTGACAGTGTGTAGTACAATGGTGGGTCCAAAAGATTATAATATGGTATTTTTACTGTACCTTTTCTATGTATAGATATACAAATACTTGCCATTGTGTTCCAGTTGCCCACAGTATTTAGTATAGTAACAGGCTGTACAGGTTTGTAGCCTAGGAGCAATAGGCTGTACTATATAGCCTGGGTGTACAGTAGGCTATACCATCTAGGTTTGTGTAAGTATAGTCTATGATGTTCGCACAATGATGAAATTGCCTAATGATGCATTTCTCAGAACCAACCTCATCATTAAGTGACACATGGCTGTGTGTGTGTATCTGTCTGTCTGTCTGTCTGTCTATCTATCTATCTATCTATCTATCTACCTACCTACCTACTTACCTATCTACTACTGGTTCTCTTTCTCTGGAGAACTCTAACATATTACAGGAGCTAACTGAATTCTTCAAGATTCCTCAACTTAGCACTTACACTAATGCTCCCTATCCACCTTCCTCAGTGTGATAACCAAGTTTCTGACCATTTCAGGAAAAGCAGGGAAGAGAGGGGAGAGTGAAGATGTCAAGAGAGGTCTTACCTAACAAGTATGGACATGTCTAACATCAGAGCCAGGATTAGGACATAAAACTTAAGGGGCCCCCAAAACTGTAAACAAAATACATAACATTTTAATGCAAAATTTTAAAGAACTAAAATTAATGCAAAAATCCATGATGAGCAATATGTCAAAATTTTAAACAAAGACAGAATAAGTTGAAATTAATTTAAAAATTATTTTGCATTATTGCTTAGTCAAGAGAAATTGTCAAGCACAGCAATTCTCTCAATTAAAAACGAGGTAAGTGAAGAAGTTGATTTTGAAAATATTGATAAGTTTGTGTTCATTAAGGCCAGTAAATTAAAATGATAACTCTATTTGGGATATAAATAAAATATTTAAATTTAAAGTAATGTGGTTTCAATAACTTTGTAATTTTTTCATATTTTTCAACAGTGTTAATGTTCTGGAAAAAACATTAAAAACATACATTAAACATATATTACAAGCATACCTCATTTTATTGCCCTTTGCTTTATTGTGCTTTAAAGATACCATATTTTTTTTTTACAAATGGAAGGTTTGTAGCAACCCCGCATCAAGCAAGTCTGTTGGTGCCATTTTTCCAATAGCGTGTGGTCACTTCATGTCTTTGGGTCACATTTCGGTAATTCTTGCAATATTTCAAACTTTCAGATGATTATTATATCTGTTATGATGATCTGTGATAAGTGATCCTTGATGTTACTATTGCAATTGTTTTGGGGCTCCATGAACTGTACCCACAGAAGACCAGTGAACTTCATAAATGTGTGTGTTCTGATTGTCCCACTGACTGTTCCCCGAGACAACAACAATATTGAAATTAGGCCAGTTAATAACTCTACAGTGTCTTTTAAGAGCTCCAGAGAAAGGCAGAGTCACACATCTTTCACTCCAAATAATAAGCTAGGAGTTATTAAACTTAGTGAGAAAGGCAGGTTGAAAGCAGAGATTAGTGGAAAGCCAGGCCTCTTGCATCAGTTAGCCAAGTGGTAATCCATAGGAAAAGTTCTTGAAGGAAATTAAAAGTGCTACTTCCAGCGAACACAATAAAACATCCTTACAGCTCATATGGAGGAAGTTTTAGTGGTCCAGATAGAAGATCAAATCAGCCACAACATTCCCTTAAGCCGAAGCCTCATCCAGAGTAAAGCTCTAACTCTCCTCAGTTCTATGAAACCTGAAAGAGGTGAGGAAGATGCAGAAGAAAAGTTTGAAGCTAGCAGGAGTGGGCTATGAGATTTAAGGAAAGAAGCTATCTCTATAACGTAAAAGTGCAAGGTGAAGCTGCAAATGCTGATGTTGAAGCTGCAGCAAGTTATCCAGAAGATCTAGCTAAGATCATTGATGAAGATGGCCAAGCCTAAACAACAGATTTCCAGTGTAGATGAAACAGCCTTCTATTGGAAGAAGATGCCATCCAGGACTTTCATAGCTAGAGAGGGAAGTCAATAGTGGCTTCAAATCTTCAAGGGACAGGCTGACCCTTTTTAGGGGCTAATGCAGCTGGTGACTTAAAGTTGAAGCCAATGCTCACTTACCATTCCAAAAATTCTAGGGCCCTTAAAAATTATACTAAATCTCCTCCGCCTGTGCTCTAAAAATGGAACAACAAAGCCTGGATCTGTTTACAGCAGGGCTTACTGAATATTTTAAGCCCACAATTGAAACCTACTGCACAGAAGAAAAGATTACTTTCTAAATATTACTGCTCATTGACAGCACACCTGGTCACCCAAGAGCTCTGATGAAGATGTACAAGAAGTACAAGGCATGTTGTTTTCATGCCTGCTAACACAATATCCATTCTACAGCCTATGAGTCAAAGAGTAATTTTGATTTCCAAGTCTTATTCAAGAAATACATTTTATAAGGTTAATAGCTGCCAGAGATAGTGATTCCTCTGATGGATCTGGACAAAATAAATTGAAACCCTGCTGGAAAGGATTCACCATTCTAGAAGCCATTAAGAACTTTCATGATTCATAGGAGGAGGTCAAAATATCAACATTAGCAGGAGTTGGAAAGAAGTTGATTCCAACCCACATGGGTGACTTTGAGAGGCTGAAGACTTCAGTGGAGGGAGTCACTGCAAGTGTGGTGAAAATAGTAAGTGAATTAGAATTTGAAGTTGGGCCTGATGATAATGATAGTGAATTGCTGCAATACCTCTGTCAAACTTGAATGGATAAGGAGTTGCTTCTCATGGATGAGCAAAGAAAGTGGTTTCTTGAGATGGAATCTACTCCTGGTGAAGATGCTGAGAACATTATTGAAATGACAACAAAAGATTTAGAATATTACATAAAATTAACTGATAAAGCAGCGGTAGGGTTTGAGAGAAATGACCTTAATTTTGAAAGAAGTTCTTCTGTGAGTAAAATTCTATGAAATGGTATCATATGCTACAGGGAAATCTTCTGTGAAAGGAAAAGTCAATGAATGTGGCAAATTTCACTGTCTTATTTTAAGAAATTGCCATAGCCACCCCACCCTTCGGCAACCACTACACAAATCAGTCAGCAGCCATCAGTGTTGAGGCAAGACCCTCCAACAGCAAAAATATTATGACCCACTGAAGGCTCAGATGATTTATAACATTTCTTTAGCGTAAAGTATTTTTAAAATTAAAGTATATACATTGCTTTTTAGACATGAAGCTATGGCACACTTAGTAGACTAGTATAGTATACTAGTCTATTAAGATACTAGTATAGTATATACTTAGAATATACTGAGGCTAGTATATTACATATATACATGAATAGACTAGCATATTACAGCATACTAGTCTATTAAGTATAAACATAAACATAACTTTTACATGCACTGGGAAACCAAAAACTGTAGGTGACTTGCTTTATTGCACTATTTGCTCTACTGATGTGGCTGAAACTGAACCTGCAATCGTTTAGAGGTGTGCCTGTGTATAGGACATACATTTTTTTCTTTTGCCTCAGGTTCCATTATGGATTGGTGCAGCACCATTATTGATCCTACCTTTATTTAACATTTTGATATTTTGTTCATCATGGATGTTTTTACCTTAATTTTAATTTTTAAAATATTGTGTCAAAATATTATTTATCTTGATTATTGACTTTTTTCGTATCCTCTTAAATTTTGTGCTCACCTGAACTGCTTCATTCCCTTGCTCTAATCCCAGCCATGGCTGGCACTGTGTTTGAAGGTGGACGAGGTAGATGTCTAAAGTTGGCTTTCACCTGGGTAGTTCCTTTCCTGAAGGGGCATATATCCTCTTTCTATGCACTCATGATTCCTCCCTCAGCCTTTGGATAGCACATAGAACAATTCTGTCCCTCCATGCAGTCCTCAGGCAGGATGTAAGCCATGCCTAAATGACTCTTATGCATACAACCTTCCCAGAAAGCAGGAGACTTGGTCCCATTGTTGGTAGAAGTGCAAGTGCAGGTTCATCCCAGCCATAGCTCTCCCTTGCTGCCTCCAGCTTCCTGCCTGTTAGATTTTTCAGGTCTATGCCACTGTACACCCCAGGGATTCATATCAAGCTTCTGGAGTGGTCTCTCACTGATCTTGAAGTGAAGGAAAGGTAGCCCCACCTTATACCCATGGGGGAAATTCTCTCCTTTGATCTTTTATCTCTAACATCTGTCTTGGTTTCTCCAGATTCTTAGAGACTGCATGGTGGTTGGTCAGCTAAGACTTGCAAAACTTAAAAACAAGTTTTATTGCAATATAATTTGCATACAATACAACTCATCCTTTTAAAGTGTGCAATTCAGTGATTTTTAGGATATTCTTAGCATTTTACAACCATCACCAAATCAATTTTAGAAGATTTTTAATCAGCGGAAAAAGAGATTCCATACCCATTTGCAGAAACGCCTTATTCCCCTCACTAGCACGCCCAGCCCTAGACAAGCACTAGTCTACTTTCTGTCTGTGGATTTTTCTATTCTGCATCTTCCATGTAAATGGAATCATACAATATGAAGACTTTTATGACTGGCTTCTTATACATGACTTCTCAAGCTTCATTCATGTAGCACGAGTCAGTACCTCACTTTTTTATTGCCAAATAATATTCCATTGTATGGAGAAATTTCTATTCATATTCTTTGCCCATATTTTATGAGGTTATGTCTCTACTTACAATTGTATTTTTTTTGAGGTTTTATTTATTGTTATTATTATTTATTATTATTTTTTGAGATGGAGTTTCCCTCTTGTTGCCCAGGCTGGAGTGCAATGGTGCGATCTCCATTCACTGCAACCTCTGCCTCCTGCGTTCAAGCGATTCTCCTGGCTCAGCCTCCCAAGTAGCTGGGATTACAGGCATGTGCCACCATCCCTGGCTAATTTTTTGTATTTTTAGTAGAGATGGGGTTTCTCCACGTTGGTTAGGCTGGTCTTGAACTTCCGACCTCCGGTGATCTGTCTTCCTCAGCCTCCCAAAGTGTTGGGATTACAGGCGTGAGCCACCGTGCCTGGCCTATTACTATTTTTTTTATTTTAATAGGTTTTATTGGGGGAACAGGTGGTGTTTGATTACATGGATAAGTTCTTTAGGGGTCATTTCTGAGATTTTGGTGCACCCATCATGTGAGCAGTGTACACTGTACCCAATGTATAGTCTTTTATCCCTCACTCCCCTCCCACCCTTCCCCCGAGTCCATCAGTTCATTGTATCATTCTTACGTTTTTGTATCCTCATAGCTTAGCTCCCACTTATAAGTGAGAACATACCATGTTTGGTTTTCCATTCCTGACTTACCTCACATAGAATAATGGTCTCCAACTCCATCCAGGTTGCTGCGAATGCCATTGTTTCATTCTTTTTTTATGGCTGAGTAGTGGTCCATATATATATATGTACAAAATATATATATATGTATATAAAATACACACATATATATTATATATATATATATAATATATATAAAACATTTTCTTTATCCACTCATTGAGTGATGGGCATTTAGGCTGGTTCTGTATTTTTGCAATTGTGAATTGTGCTGCTGTAAACATGTGTGTGCAAGTGTCTTTTTCATATAATGACTTCTTTTCCTCTGGTTAGATACCCAGTGGTGGGACTGCTGGATCAAATAGTAGATCTACTTTTAATTCTTTACAAAATCTCCATACTGTTTTTCATAGTGGTTGAACAAGTTTACATTCCCACCAACAGTGTAAAAGTGTTTCCTTTTCATCACTTCCACGCCAACATCTATTAGTTTTTTATTTTAAAATTATGGCCATTCTTGCAGGAGTAGGGTGGTATCACATTGCGGTTTTGATTTGCATTTCCCTGATCATTAGTGATGTTGAGCATTTTTAAAATAGGTTTGTTGGCCATTTGTGTATCTTCTTTTCAGAACTGTCTATTCATGTCCTTAGCCAAATTTTGATGGGATTATTTGTTTTTTTCTTGCTGATTTGTTTGAGTTCCTTGTAGATTCTGGATATTGGTCCTTTGTCACAGGCATAGTTTGCAAAGATTTTCTCCCCCTCTGTGGGTTGTCTGTTTACTGATTATTTCTTTTGTGGTGCAGAAGCTCTTTAGTTTAATTAAGTCCCATCTATTTATCTTTGATTTTGTTGCATTTGCATTTGCATTTGCTTGGTCATGAATTCTTTGCCTAAGCCAAAGTCTAGAAAGGTTTTTCTGATGTTATCTTCTAGAATTTTTATTTTTTCAGGTCTTAGATTTAAGTCTTTGATCCATCTTGGTTGATTTTTGTATAAGGTAAGAGATGATGATCCAGTATTATTATTCGACATGTGGCTTGGCAGTTATCCTAGCACCGTTTGTTGAATAGCTGTCCTTTCCCCACTTTATGTTTTTGCTTGCCTTGTCAAAGATCAGTTGGCTGTAAGTATTTGGCTTCATTTCTGGGTTCTCTCTTCTGTTCCATTGGCCTATGTGCCTATTTTTATACCAGTATCATGCTGTTTTGGTGACTATAGCCTTATAGTATAGTTTGAAGTTGGGTAATGTGATGCCTCCGGATTTGTTCTCTTTGCTTAGTCTTGCTTTGGCTATGTGGGCTCTTTTTTAGTCCATATGAATTTTAGGATTTTTTTTTTCTAGTTCTGTGGAGAATGATGATGTTATTTTGATGGGAGTTGCATTGAATTTGTAGATTGTGTTTGGCAGTATGGTTATTTTCGCAATATTGATTCTATCCATCCATGAGCATGGGATGTGTTTCCATTTGTTTGTGTCATCTATGATTTCTTTCAGCAGTGTTTTACAGTTCTTCTTGTAGAGGGCTTTCACCTACCTGGTTAGCCATATCCCTAGGTTTTGTTTGTTAGTTTTACAGCTATTGTAAAAGAGGTTGAGTTCTTGGTTTGCTTCTCAGCTTGGTCACTGTTGGTGTATAGCAGTGCTACTGATTTGTGTACATTGATTTTGTATCCTGAAACTTTGTTCCATTTGGAGCTAATTTTTGTATATGGTAAGAGGTAGGAGTCTTAATTCATTATTTTGCATGTGGATATACAGTTGTCCCAGTACCATTTATTGAAGACTATTCTTTACTCATTAAATTGTCTTGGTACTTTTGTTTAAAATTAATTGACTGTAAATGTAATGGTTCATTTCTCAATTCTATTCTGCTGATATATATATATATATATATATATATATATATATATATGTCTATTTTATGTCAGTATCTTACTATCTTGATTACTGTAGTTTTATAGTGAGTTAAACAATACGGAACTGTCCAATTTGGTTCTTCTTTTTCAAGATAGTTTGGCTGTGTTGGGTCCCTTGTATTTCTATACAAATTTTAGGATCTGCTTATCAATTTCTGTAAAGAAGCCAGCTGGGATTTTGATAGGAATTATCCATGAACATTGGATATCTTTCCATTTATTTAGATATTCTTTTAATTTCTTTTCATAATGTTTTGTAGTTTTTAGAATATAGGTTTTGTACTACTTCTGTAGAAGTTATTCCTAAGTATTCTTTTTTGATGCTATTATAAATAGAATTGTATTCTTAATTTATTTTTGAAATGTTCAATGAAAGTGTTTAGAAATATAATTGTTTTTTTGTATATTGATCTTGTATTGCAATTTTACTGAATTCATTTATTCTAATATTTTTAGTGTATCTTTTAGGGTTTTTTTTTGTATACAAGATCATGCTATCTGCAAATAGAGTTTTACCTCTTCCTTTCCAATCTGGATGCCTTTTATTTCTTTTTCTTGTTTAATTGTCATGGATAAGACCTCCAGTACAATGTTGAATATAAATATCAAGACAAGACATCAAGACAATACAGTCTTTTACCCTTAAGTAAGATGTTAGCTGTTGGGTTTTCACAGATGTCATTTTTCAGGTTAAAGAAGTTTCTTTCTAATCCTAATTTGTTGCATGTGTTTATCATTAAAGGATTTGAATTTATTCAGATTTTAGTTCTGCATTTATTGAGATCATCATGTGGATTTTATTCTTATTCTATTAATATGCTATATTAATTGATTTTTGGATATTAAACTAACCTTGCTTTCCTGGGATAAATATCACTTGGTTATGGTGTATAATTTCTTATATGTGTTGCTGGATTGGTTTGATAGTATTTTATTGAGGATGTTTGTATCCATATTTATGAGTTATTGGTTTGTGAGTTTTTTTTTTTCCTTCTGATATGTTTGTCTCATTTTGATGTCTGGCTAGTACTGGCCTTATAGCACGAATTGGGAAGTAGTTTTTCCCCCTCTGTATTTTGGAAGAGTTTGGGAAATCTGGTATTACTTCTTTAAATGTTTAGTAAAAGTCAGTAGTAAAGACATCTGGGCCTGGGCTTTTCTTCACAGCTTTTTTTTGTTATTATTCAAGTACAATGTCTTTACTCACTATATGTCTATTTAGATTTTCTATTTATTCTTGAGTCAGTTTTGGTAGTTTATGTCTTTCTAAATATTTTTCCATTTTATCTGTGGTATCTAATTTGTTGGCATATAGTTGTTCACAGTGTTCTTTTATTATTTATTTATTTAGAGACAGAGTTTTGCTCTTGTTGCCCAGGCTGGAGTGCAATGGCATGATCTTGGCTCACTGCAACCTCCACCTCCTGGATTCAAGCGATTCTCCTGCGTCAGCCTCCCGAGTAGCTAGGATTACAGGCATGCGCCACCATGCCTAGCTAATTTTTTGTATTTTTAGTAGAGATGGGGTTTCTCCATATTGGTCAGGCTGGTCTCAAACTCCTGGTCAGGTGGTCTACCTGCCTCGGCCTCCCAAAGTGCTGGGATTACAGGTGTAAGCCACTATACCCAGCCTTATAGTGTTCTTTAATAATTATTTTTATTTCTGTAGGATTGGAATTAAAGTTCTCTCTTCATTCCTAGTTTTAGTAATTTGAGTCTTCTCTCTCTTTTTCTCTGCCAGTCAAGTTGAAAGTTTGAAACTTTAAACTCTTTTCAGGTAACTGACTTTTGTGTTCATTGATTTTCTCTATTGTTTTTCTACTGTCTATTTCATTTATTTCTGCTCTAAACTTTATTATACCCTTCTATTTGTTTTGCATTTAAGTTGCTCTTCTTTTTCCATCATCTTAAGATAGATTATTGATTTGCAATTAAATATTTTAACATTTTTAGAATGGTTTTACATTTTCATATGTTATCACATCATTTAAAAATCAATCGCCTTTATTTAATTTTTTAAAAATTTGTTATTGATGCATAATATTTATACATATTTATGGAGTACATGTGATATTTTATTACATGCATAGACTGTGTAATGATCAAGTCAGAGTATTTGGGGTGCTCAAAACCTTGCATTTTTTTTTTTTTTTTGCAAAATACCTCTTAATCTCATATTGAAAATGCAGCTTGTATGTGGGTGCAGGATGGCTATAAGAAAGGCATACCTATAGGCTGTAATATGAATTTTTAAAAAGTGAAGTCATTATATGACAACTTAAAGCAAAAGGAAGGTGAAAGATCTAATGCTGGGGAATTTAATGTCTACAAAAAATGGTTTGTTAACTTTAGAAAGAGGTATGGCTTTAAAACAGTGTCAATATAACAGGAGAAGCAGCTTCCACTGACCAAGGTGCAGTGGATGAGTTACCAGATGCCATTAAGAAAATCATTGAGGAGAAAGTATATCTGCTTGAGCAGATTTTTAAATGTAGATGAAAGTGCCCTACTCTGGCTAAAAATGCTGTGAAGGACATTTATTAGTAAGGAAGATAAGTGAACATCAGGATTTAAGGCAGGAAGGAATAGGCTACTCAACTGTTTTGTGCAAATGCAGTTGGGTTTATGATGAGATTGCCTTTATATATAAAGCTGCCAACCCTCAAGGCTTGAAGGGAAAAGATAAACACCAGTTGGCAGGCTTTGGTTGTGCAAGAAGGACTGGGCAATTAGAACCCTTTTCCTAGATTGGCTCCATCGATTATTTGTTATTGAAGTCAGAAGGCACCTTGACAGAAAGGGACTTCCTTTTTCCCAAACACAATATCTCTAATTCAGCCTCCAGACCAAGGGGTCATAAGGACCCTTAAGGCAGATTAAACATGGTACTCTATAGAAAAGATTGTCAATTCTATGAAATAAACCCCTATAGAGAGAACATCATACATGTTTGGAAGGATTACACCCTTGAGGATGCCATTATTGTTGTAGAAAAAGCTGTGAAAGGCGTCAAGCTCAAAACAATAAATGCCTGTGGAGAAAATTGTGTCCAGATGTTATATATGACTTCACAGGATTTATGACAGAGTCAATCAAGGAAATCATGAAAGAGATTGTGGATATGTCAAAAAAAGGTGGGGTGGGTGAAGGATTTCAAGAGATAGATCTGGGGGAAATTCAGGAGCTATTTGATATTGCACCAGGAGATGACTTGACAGAGATGAGTGCTTCCAAACCAGTGCCAGATGAAGAGGAAGACATAGAAGAAGCAATGCCAGAAAACAAGCTGGGCTGGGTGTGGTTGCTCACACCTGTAATTGCAGCACTTTGGGAGGCTAAGGTGGACAAATCACCTGGGGTCAGGAGTTGAAGACCAGCCCACCCAACATGGTGAAACCTCATCTTTACTAAAAATACAAAAAATTAGCTGGGCATGGTGGCGGGTGCCTGTAGTCCCAGCTACTTGGGAGGCTGAGGCAGGAGAATCGCTTGAACCCAGGAGGTGGAGGTTGCAGTGAGCCGAGATCACGCCATTGCACTCCAGCCTGGGCCACAGAGTGAGAAATCGTCTCAAAAGAAAAGAAAGAAGACAAAACAAGTTGATTTTACACAATCTGGTGGCAGGATTCTGATTATTCAGGACTGCTTTTGACTTCTTTTACAACACGGACTCTTCCATGAGACAGGCACCAAAACTAAAGCAAATGGTGGAAGGAAGACTGGTGTAGTATAGAAATGTTTTTAGAGAAATGAAAATGCAAAAAGACAGAAATTATGATGTATTTCTGTAAAGTTACAGTGCGTGTGCCTGCTTCTCCTGCCTCCCCATCTACCTCCTCCACCTCTTCCACCTCTGCCACCCCTGAGATAGCAAGACTAACCTCTCCTCTTCTTCCTCCTCCTCAGCCTACTCAACGTGAAGACGACGAGGATGAAGATCTTTAGGACACTCTATTTATACTTAATGAATAGTAAATACAGTTTCTCTTCCTTATGGTTTTCTTAATAATTTCTTTCCTCTAGCTTACTTTATTGTAAGAATACAGTGTATAACACATAGAACCTACAAAGTATGTGTTAATTGGCTGTTTATGTTATAGGTAAAGCTTCTGATCGACAGTAGGCTACTAGTAGTTAAGTCTTCAGGGAGTCAAGAGTTATACGTGGAATTTTGAATGCACGGGGGGTGGCGGAAGCCAGAGCCCCCAACCCCTGTGTTGTTCAAGGGCCCACTGTATTTGCCATATCTCCTTAGACCCCTCTTGACTGTGACAGTTTCTCAGACTTTCCTTGTTTTTTTTTTTTTTTTTTTTTTTTTTTGAGATGTAGTCTCACTCTGTCGCCCAGGCTGGAGTGCAGTGGTGTGATCTCGGCTCACTGCAAGTTCTGCCTCCCAGGTTCACACCATTCTCCTGCCTCAGCCTCCCAAGTAGCTGAGACTACAGGTGCCTGCCACCACGCCCGGCTAATTTTTTGTATTTTTAGTAGAGACAGGGTTTCACCATGTTAGCCAGGATGGTCTCGATCTCCTGACCTCATAATCTACCCACCGGCCTTCCAAAGTGCTGGAATTACAGGCGTGAGCCACCACGCCCGGCCGAATTTCCTTGTTTCTAATGACCTCAGCAGTTTTGAGGAATACTGATCAGGTATATTGTAAGACGTCCCTCTGTTGAAACTTGCCTGATGTTTTTCTCAGTATTACAATGGTGCTGTAGGTTTTTAGGAGAAAATTCACAGAGGTAAAGTGTCATTTTTATCATATCACATTACGGGTACACACTATCAGCATGATTTATGACTATAGATGTTGACCTTGATCATCTGGCTGAGGTAGTGTTTGTCAGATTTCTCCACTGTAGAGTTACTCTATTTTTTTCTTTAATCCTCTTTCCATACTGTACGTTTTGGGAGGAAGTCACTGTGTGCAGTCCACACTTAAGTAGTATGGAGTGATGCCCCCTCCTTTAGGGTGGAGTATCTACATAATTTATTTGTAATTTTTCTGGCGAGATATGTCATTTATTAATTTATTAAATATTTTTATCAGTAGGACTCATGTATATTTCCTTTATTCTTTCTTCCTTTTAAATGCATTTATAGCTATGAAATTCTCTTTAAGCACTGCTTAGCTGCATTCCATAAGTACAAAACTAGTTGTTTTTTTGTTTTGTTTTGTTTTGAGATGGAGTCTCACTCTGTCGCCCAGACTGGAGTGCAGTGGCGCGATCTCGGCTCACTGCAACTTCCGCCTCCCGGGTTCAAGCAATTCTCCTGCCTCAGCCTCCTGAGTAGCTGGGATTACAGGCACATGCCACCACGCCTGGCTAATTTTTGTAGTTTTAGTAGAGACAGGATTTCACCATGTTGGTCAGGCTGGTCTCAAACTCCTGACCTCATGATCTGCCTACTTCAGCCTCCCTAAGTGCTGGGATTACAGGCATGAGCCACCACGCCCAGTGCAAAACTAGTTTTTAACCAACTCCTGAGCAGGTCCTTTGAAGTGAGTACTTGCTTGTCATGTGCTGGGGCTGATCCACAACTTAGACCGAGTGCCATTGTAACATCCTGGTACCTTTATAAGAAGATTCTTTGGCACTTTACCATCCCACTTTAACGAGATCTGCAATAGATGTGCATTTATCTGACTTTTTTTTGAGACTGAGTCTCGCTGGGTTAACCAGGCTGGATTGCAGTGGCACGATCTTAGCTCAATGCAACCTCTGCCTCCTGGGCTCAAGTGATCCTCCCACCTCAGCCTCCTGAGTGGCTAGGACTACAGGCACACATCAGTATGCCTGGCTAATTTTTGTACAGGCGCGAGCCACCATGCTCCGTTTATTTGACATTCCTATGATATTAAGCAAAGTCTCAGGGCAAGAAGTATCAAGTGGTTGTGACATAGCCAGAAGTTAGATTTCAGATGTTCATGATGGTTACTTTTAGTTTAATTTAGGCATATCCTGTGCCACTTGTATAGCTGTAATGTAAGTTAAGCAGAGTAAACATGCATTCCTTCTAGATTATGTGGTTAACTCGGACAAGCATGTGTTACATGTGTGAGGAAGTGTGGAGAGAGGAGATGGGAAATGGAGGGATGGAGATTGTAAATATTTGCAATAGACAAGGCCTGGCTCGTGATCCAGAGAGGAGCCCAGGCAGCAGCCTAAGGGCAAAACTCTTAGGAAGGCACATGACATCAGGAGTATGACAGCTTGAAAATTCTTCTTGGTGCAAACCCCACAAAAGTAGGGGTTGAAGTAGGGTGTGTCCTGGCCTACTTCCTTGTTTCTTGGCTTTCAAGTAAACTAAAGTTGGGCTTTGGCTCTTGGAGGACTGACTGGCCAGCACTGACTCCTAGGGGAAGCTGGTATCCACTGTGCCTTTGAGCCTCCCCAGGGATTGGATACCAGCCATGGCTGCTCTGCCAACTTGCTGTGTGACCTTGGGCAAGCTCCTTGACCTAACTGAGCCTCAGCTTCCTTATCTGGAAAATGAGACTGGATGGGACTGAGTAAATTATCTCTAGAGTCTCTTCCAGCTCTAATCCCCTATGTCAGATTTCATGGCTGGTTTGAGCCCATTTTCCATTATAAAATGAACCCAAGAGAAAACTAGAGTGCTGTTTCTGTATAGCTGCAATGTAAGCTAAGCAGAGTAAACAGATGCATTTACAGTTTTTGGTTTGGTATTTTTCTTCTTTCCTTTCCTTCTCTCCCTACCCTTGCCCATGCTATTCTTCCCTGTATTTTTTCAGAGACCCAAACCTCCCTTAATCTTTAAACTGGGATGACATTGAAAAAGACATGAGGCTTCCCATAAATACTTTAATGAAGTAGAATGACTGTTTTAGTTAGTGAAGGAAACCTCTGCAAACCAGCATGAGAAACAGTTCCTGAGAGTGTGCCTCAATTATGTTTTCATCCAGGGCATTTTCAGTGAACAAAACATAGTTCAATGAAAGAGAAGCAAAGAAAATTTATTTGTACCCATTTGCATTCTCTTCATAGGGTGATGAATAATTCTGGGAACCATGGTAAAAATTACAACAAAGAATTCTGTTGTTACTCAGTTGGCAAACATCACACTTTAGTTCTTTTCCATATGCAAAAGATTAGGTAAGTGGCCAAATACTGTTAGATTGCAAGAGTTTTGTTTGCTAAAAGCTCACTGAATTTTTCATCGATGTTCTACCTGCCCCTCCTGAAAACCACTGCAATGTCTTTTCTGCTGCATATCAGAAAATGCATTAGGGGTGTTTTCTGAACAGGGGGAGCGGAAAAAGGAGAAATAGTGTCAGAGATAGTAAATTAGTGCAAAAGTAACCAACCTAATAGGTTTGGCAGAGGCCTAGTGTCTGCCATATTTCAAGAATGGGAGTCTAGGCCAGGCACAGTGGCTCCCGCCTGTAATCCCAGCACTTTGGGAGGCCAAGGTGGGCAGATCATTCAAGGTCGGGAGTTCAAGACCAGACTGACCAACATGGTGAAATCCCGTCTCTACTAAAAATACAAAAAAAATTAGCCACGCATGGTGGCGCGTGCCTGTAGTCCCAGCTACTTGGGAGGCTAAGGCAGGAGAATCACTTGAACTCGGGAGGCGGTTGTTGCACTGAGCCAAGATCACGCCACTGCACTCCAGCCTAGGCGACAAGAGTGAGACTCCATCTCAAAAAGGGCGGTCTAGAGTGATAAGAGTACAGCATTTGGAGCCAAAGGCCAGAGGTCTCAATCCGATCCCACCTTCAGAACCTTAGCCCTTCCAACTACAGATCTACCATAGAACAACAAATGAGACTTACTTTACATGATTGTTGTGAATGTCAAAAAAAGAATTGTAAACATGCTTTGAAAACAGTAACTCATTTTGTCCACTGTCATGAAGAGGTCATGCTTCTTGGAAACAGAAAAGCATTTCCAACCAACAGGATTGTTGTGAGGAAGGCTGTATCTGGGGACGGTGAAGGCTTCCGTGATTTGTTCCCCATTCTTTCCACAGGTGTCTCTTCCTGTAGCAACGTACTTGTAACCACTGAGGCAAGGCCCCAGGGGAATTGCCACAGGGGGATTTGCCCCAGGGGAATTGCTACAGGTGTGGGAACCAGCCTTGGGGACCCAGACTGGGGAGTTATTTGAGGACCTTGTGATGCACAAGTGAAGGGCTGACACACCACAGGGGCTCAGAAAATGACCACAGCCTGCCTCCAAGGACCATGTCATCCCTCCTTCCTTGCCAGAACGTGTGTTGGTCTTAGATGGATGGTTAAGCCCTTCCCTCTCTGAAGGTTCAAATAAACATCCTAAAGAACTACAGAGTCAGATTCGGAGGTCTAGGAATCACTTTTTTTAGTTAACTCATTTCCTTCTACTGTTTGAGGGTGAGCATGGTCTTGTTCTTTAGGCGTCCAGAGTCCTCACTCCTCCCAGCTTTACTCCTTTCCTTCGATTTTCCATCCCCCATCCCATCCCACAGCCTTCCCTCCCTGGGAGTCCTATGCCCCTCTTAGAGATCTTCATTCCTTCTTATGGAATAAAGAAATCCTAACCTCATGTTCCTGTTATGTTGCAAACTCTGGCTCCTTGGGTTTCCATAGGATGGTAATGGAGGGTTTCCTTTGCTGACTGTAAGTGGTGTGTGGTGGGTGGGGGGAGCAGAGGGGTAAATTGGCTATGGAAGGAAAAGGAAATGTGGCATGTGAAGCGGTTTCTGATTCAGTTCAGGTTAGGTGCTCTACCAGCCAAAATTGGGGTGAGTTTCCTCCTAAATTAACCTACAAGGAAACATACCTATGTGTCTCTGGGCAAAACAGATGTATGGAAAATTCTGTGTATGTATGGGGGTGGGGGCAGGTGGAGAGAGAGAGATAAAGAAGAGAAAGAGAAGAGGAGGAGGAGTAAAAGGAAGGAGAAAGGGAACAGAAGGGAAGGGAATGGGGAAAGGGTTCTTAATCCCATTCCATTTTTAAGTGGAATAATTTTAAATTGTAATTTAATGCCAGGTGCCATGGCTCACACCTGTAATCCCAGCACTTTGGGAGGCCGAGGCGGGTGGATCACGAGGTCAGGAGATCGAGACCATCCTGGCCAACATGGTGAAACCCCGTCTCTACTAAAATATAAAAAATTAGCCCAGTGTGGTGGCACGCACCTGTAGTCCCAGCTACTCAGGAGGCTGAGGCAGGAGAATCACTTGAACCCAGGAGGTGGAGGTTGTGGTTGCAGTGAGCCGAGATTGTGTCACTACACTCTAGCCTGGCAACAGAGCAAGACTCCGTCTAAAAAAAAAAAAAAAAAAAAAACAAAAAAACAAATCTACTTCAAAAAATTTCAACTGAGAGCATAGATAGATGGTTGAAAGCCATTTGAAGTGTAAACTATAATATCCATATGACAATGAGAGACATTCAGAACAAACTCAAGTACATAATAATTACAGCCGTCTGGGTGTGGTCTTGAGGCTCCATAATGAATTTCCATAATGAATAGCAAAGATAGCACTATCAAATCTATAACAAGTGGATCACATATCTGATTGAATGTTTCTTTAACTCGACCAAAAGAAGTTGGCAAATCAGCACATTTTCACCCACACATCATTTAAAAATAAAGCAAAACAAGCACAATCAAATGTCAAATTCATTAATGGCCTTTTAGTCCAATCAGAAGGTAAAGATGCAGTTGACTTTGGTCTCTCACTCAGAGTTAAGGCATGTCTTTTGAACTTGTAAAAATGCATCAGTTGAGCTTGGCTGTCTCTTCCTGAATTTAAACACATTCAGTCAGATCCATAGCATAGGGATCAACCAAGTTTTCACCTATTAAGTCTTTCTTAAAGTCTGAAAGAAGCTTCAAGCAATTTTTATTTGCTTTCCATTGTATTATTTCTAGCCCAGACAGCTTTCTTGTTATCCATAAGACTTTCTGAGACTCTTTCAAAATTTGTATAATTGATTTTGAAACGTCACGGCAATAATGATTGTTCGATGATCAGTTTTATCATGCAAGAGACATAAATGTTTAGGCTCATTTGTGCTTCCATAACAGTAAAGCCCAGGTTTTAAATAAGCATCAAAGTACATCCTATACTTTTTAAATTGCTCATAGATTTTTACACTGATTCACCTGTTATGGTTTTGAAGACTCACCTTATTTATTTATTTATTTATTTATTTATTTATTTATTTATTTATTTTGAGATGGAGCCTCGCTTTGTTACCCAGGCTGGAGTGTAGTGGCGTGGTCTCAGCTCACTGCAACCTCTGCCTCCCGGGTTCAAGTGATTCTCCTGCCTTAGCCTCCTGAGTAGCTGGGATTACAGGTGCATGCCACCACGCCTGGCTAATTTTTGTATTTTTAGTAGAGACAGGGTTTCACCATATTGGCCAGGCTGGTCTCGAACTACTGACCTTGTGATCCATCCACCTGGGCCACCCAAAGTGCTGGGATTACAGGAGTGAGCCACTGCGCCGGCCAACTCACCTTATTTTTATACGAAGGTACCTAGAGGTAGTGAGCATTAATTCAGTTAGCATGAGCCGACGCTCATGTACACTTGCACACTGAGCTCAGGAGAGGCAGCAGGCGCCAAAGCCATGCCATGGCCATATAGCTTAGTCACACCCCAATTTATTTAGCTCATTTGGCCTCAAAGGGTCTGAGTCTTGATTTTCTCAGTAAGCATCAGTGTTCTCAGCTGGTCAGTGGTAAAAATAGCATCTAACCTGTGTAAAGAACTGTGGTTTGAATACCGGCCTTTTTAGAGAAAGTTGAAAGCTTGTGCTAGCCCATATCTGTATGTGATCTCAGCTAGGAGAAGGCGCTCATTAAAATTTTCAGGCAAAGAATCAAATGGTTGTTTGTTTTTGTGGAGAAAACTTAAGACCTGTGGCAAAAGTAAAGGCATAAATGGGTGAATGATTTCATTGTTGACCTTGATGATAAAAAGTGACTCACTAAGTTGCTTTTCACAACAACATTCTTTTCAAGACTGAAAGCTCTCAACACAAAGGCAAAAATAAATATTTTGAAATTGCATTTGATTTGATCTCAAGTAAAAAGAAGTTTGAGAGTCAGATAAAGACAGTTGATTATGGAGACCATGAGTCACTTAAAATTTTTTATCTACATCCAAAATTACATCATTGCTGGGAAAATAAGGAATAATGTTGCCAGTCATCTTTTATCATGGAAAAAGCCACTTTACCTATGTTCTCTGAGATGGTAAAAGAGCCCAAAGAGGCTCCTTCAAATCAGCATGTGATATGAGCAACTTGACCCCTTCACAAAGACACATTTGTTGAGTTTGCATCGACTGAATTTCAGTAGCCTGAAAACATTGTGTTACATTACCTTTTACATATAATTCTGGCATCTCCCCTGGGTAGTTACTGTGATATTTGTTAGACTGTTAAAACAAGAAGTTGTAGCTGTTATGTTAGTATAATCTGTGTTTATAAATATTAGAAGAGAAATTGCTTCTATGGTGAATGTCTTCTAATACGTCCTCTTCATGCCCCAGCTGGCTTCAGAACCCAGAAGTCCCAGCTCTCTGTCCTGCTGAAGCAGCCCACACTTTTCACTGCTCCGTTTTCTCTGTCACTTTTCCTGTGTTTTTCAGACTTGGACAAGCAGGTCACACAGCGATCACCTCCTCCTTGCAGTAGAGTGAAAAGAGCTCTTCTTGACCCAGGAGTTCTTTGCAAAGTGCTCTCTAAAGTCATTTTTGGCCCATTGGCCCTATTCCAAGTTATATGGTAGGTACATGATAAAAGTTCCTGTTGAATGCTCTTCATTGCTATGTTTTATGGGCTTTTCCATTCTGGGTACTTGGGCTCTCAATCCAGTTTTTGAAAAGTCTTCTTTCACTGTTGCACTCTCTTTGCCTTTGCTGGTTTTGGGTGTCTGGTATTTTTGGTCTGTGACACTTTTTTTCCTGGGTTTTCAGTAGGTGGTCATTTAAATAATTTCTAGGCTTTCTGTGCTTTTCCCTTTCTTTTTCCCCTCTTTTTCTTTTTAAAAATATCTTATCTTGTAACTCTTCCTTTACATATTTTTTGAACTAGTATCAAATTTCCCTTTTCTAAAATTGAATACCTAGGCAATGGATATCCTTGGTTTTTCCCTCTCCCTGTGGAGAGTGGAGTCAGGGTAGGGATGGGGTTGAACTGTGGTTCAGTTTGTATGTTTGTCTCCTGCACAGCTCATGTTGAAACTTAATCCCCAATGTGGCAGTATTGAGAGGCAGGGCCTTTAAGGCAATTTAAATACTGAGAGCTGATTGGATCATGAGGGCTATGCCCTTATGAATGGAATGGATTAATGGGTTCATAGATTAATGGGTTATCATGGGAGTGGGACAGGTCGCTTTAAAAGAAGAAGAGCGTTCAGAGCTTGCACACTCAGCCCCCTCATTGTGTGATCCCTGTGTTGCCTCAGGACTCTGCAGAGAGTCCCCACCAGCAAGAAGGCCTTCACCAGATGCAGCCCCTCAGTCTTGGACTTCTAGTCTTTTTTTTTTTTAATCTTTTTTTTTTTTTTTTTGAGACAGAGTCTTGCTCTGTCTCCCAGGCTGGAGTGCAGTGGCATGATCTTGGCTCACTGCAACCTCTGCCTCCTAGGTTGGGTTCAAGAGAGTCTCCTACCTCAGCCTCCCGAGTAGCTGGGATTACAGGCATGCACCACCACACCCAGCAAATTTTTGTATTTGTAGTAGAGACGGGGTTTTGCCATGTTGGCCAGGCTGGTCTCAAACTCCTGACCTCAGGTGATCTGCCCGCCTCGGCCTCCCACAGTGCTGGGATTACAGGCATGGGCCACTGTGCCTGGCCAGACTTTTCAGTCTTTTTTTTTTTTTTTTTGAGACAGAGTCTCACTCTTGTCACCCAGGCTGGAGTGCAGTAGCGTGATCTCAGCTCACTGCAACCTCTGCCTCCTGGGTTCAAGCTATTCTCCTGCCTCAACCTCCCAAGTAGCTGGGATTACAGGTACCTGCCACCACACCTGGCTAATTCTCAATCTTAATGATGGTAAGACATATATTCCTTTTCTTTATAAATTATCAAGTTTTAGGTATTCTGTTATAAGCAACAGAAAATGGATTAAGACAAATAGAACTAACATTTATTTTATAGACAATATATACTTTATAAAGGATTTTATTTTGTCTCACAAATGCTTATGCCTGAGATTATAATAATAGCACTTATTAAGCATTTACCACCTAACTAACGATCAGGTTTTTTGCTAAGTGACTTGTATGCACTATCTCATTTGAGTCTTATGACAATTATAGCAGGAGGACTATATTATTTTCCCCCATTTAAAATGTAAGAAAGCTGAAGTTCAGACAGGCCAAGTGACTTGCCCAAAGTCTCATAGCTAGTAAGCAGCTGAAGTGAACTTCACACCCAGTCCAAAGCTTTGGCAGCTATGTACGTGATCACACTGTTAAAGAGTGTCCATCAATGGATGAATGGATAAAGAAAAGCAGTAGATAGTATTTTATGGAATACTATTCAACCATAAAAAGAATGACGTCCTCTTATTTGCAGAAACTTGATGAAACTGGGGATCATTATGTTGAGTGAAATAAGCCCGACACAGACAAATACTGCATGTTCTGACTTACATGTGGGAGCTTAAAAAGTTGATCTTATGGAGGTAGGGAGTAGAATGATGGTTACCAGAGGCAAGGGGTGTATGGATGAAAGAGGGCGATAAAGATAGGTTGGTTAATGGGTACAAACATATAGTTAGATAGAAGGAATGAGTTCTAATATTTCATAGCAGAGTAGGGTGGTTATAGTTAACAACTAAGTATTGTGTATTTCATAACAGCTAGTAGAGAGACTTGAAATGCTATTCCTTTCTGTTGTTAGTTTTCCTTCTAACAGTCAGGACCCTCAGCTGCAGGTCTGTTGGAGTTTGCTGGAGGTTCACTCCAGACCCTGTTTGCCTGTGTATCACCAGCGGAGGCTGCCTGATGCTTCCTCTGGAAGCTTCATCTCAGAGGGGCACTTGGCTGTATGAGGTGTCAGTCAGCCCCTACTGGCACGTGTCTCCCAGTTAGGCTACACGGGAGTCAGAGACCCACTTGAGGAGGCAGTCTGTCCGTTCTCAGAGCTCAAACTCCGTGCTGGGAGAACCACTGCTCTCTTCAGAGCTGTCAGGGACATTTAAG
This sequence comes from Homo sapiens, assembly GCF_000001405.40. Lineage (NCBI taxonomy): Eukaryota > Metazoa > Chordata > Mammalia > Primates > Hominidae > Homo > Homo sapiens. The sequence continues at coordinate 71,807,145 of NC_000014.9, forward strand.
TCTGCAGAAGTTTCTGCTGCCTTTTGTTCAGCTACGCCCTGCCCCCCAGAGATGGAGTCTACAGAGGCAGGCAGGCCTCCTTGAGCTGTAGTGGGCTCCACCCAGTTTGAGCTTCCCGGCCACTTTGTTTACTTACTCAAGCTTCAGCAATGGCAGAAACTCTTGGCAGAAACTCTACAAGCCAGGAGAGAGTAGGGGCCTATATTCAACATTCTTAAAGAAAGGAATTTACAAACCAGAATTGCATATCCAGCCAAACTAAGCTTCATAAGTGAAGGAGAAATAAAATACTTTACAGACAAGCAAATGCTGAGAGATTTTGTCACCACCAGGCTTGCCTTACAAGAGCTCCTGAAGGAAGCACTAAACAGGGAAATGAACAACCAGTACCAGCTGCTGCAAAAACATGCCAAATTGTAAAGACCATTGATGCTAGGAAGAAACTGCATCAACTAACGAGCAAAATAACCAGCTAACATCATAATGACAGGATCAAATTCACACATAACAATATTAAACTTAAATGTAAATGGGCTAAATGCTCCAATTAAAAGACACAGACTGGCAAATGGGATAAAGAGTCAAGACCTATCAGTGTGCTATATTCAGGAGACCCATCTCATGTGCAGAGACACACATAGGCTCAAAATAAAGGGATGGAGGAAGATCTACCAAGCAAATGGAAAGCAAAAAAAAAAAAAAAAAAAAAAAAGCAGGGGTTGCAATCCTAGTCTCTGATAAAACAGACTTTAAACCAACAAACATCAAAAGAGACGACAGAGGCAAAGAAGGCCATTACATAATGGTAAAGGGATCAATTCAACAAGAAGAGCTAACTATCTTAAATATATATGCACCCAATACAGGAGCATCCAGATTCATAAGGCAAGTCCTTAGAGACCTACAAAGAGACTTAGACTCCCACACAATAATAATGGGAGACTTTAACACCCTGCTGTCAATATTAGACAGATCAATGAGACAGAAGGTTAACAAGGATATTCAGGACTTAAACTCGGCTCTGCACCAAGCAGACCTAACAGACATCTAGAGAACTCCACACCCCAAATCAACAGAATATACATTCTTCTCAACACCACATTGCACTTATTCCAAAATTGACCACATGGTTGGAAGTAAAGCACTCCTCAGCAAATGTAAAAGAACATAAATCACAACAAACTGTCTCTCAGACAGTGCAATCATATTAGAACTCAGGTTTAAGAAACTCACTCAAAACTGCACAACTACATGGAAACTGAACAACCTGCTCCTGAATGACTACTGGGTAAATAACGAAATGAATGCAGAAATAAAGATGTTCTTTGAAACCAATGAGAACAAAGACACAACATATCAGCATCTCTGGGACACATTTAAAGCAGTGTGTAGAGGGAAATTTATAGCACTAAATGCCCACAAGAGAAAGCAGGAAAGATCTAAAATTGACACCCTAACATCGAAATTAAAAGAACTAGAGAAGCAAGAGCAAACACATTCAAAAGCTAGCAGAAGGCAAGAAATAACTAAGATCAGAGCAGAACTGAAGGAGATAGAGACACAAAAAACCCTTCAAAAAATCAATGACTCCAGGAGCTGGTTTTTTGAAAAGATCAGCAAAATTGATAGACCGCTAGCAAGACTAATAAAGAAGAAAAGAGAGAAGGATCAAATAGACACAATAAGAAATGATTAAGGGGATATTACCACCGATCCCACAGAAATACAAACTACCATCAGAGAATACTATAAACACCTCTATGCAATTAAACTAGAAAGTCTAGAAGAAATGGATAAATTCCTTGACACATACATCCTCCCAAGACTAAACCAGGAAGAAGTTGAATCCCTGAATAGACCAATAACAGGCTCTGAAATTGAGGCATTAAATAATAGCCTACCAAACAAAAAAAGTCCAGGACCAGATGGATTCACAGCCGAATTCTACCAGAGGTACAAAGAGGAGCTGGTACCATTCCTTCTGAAACTATTTGAATCAATAGAAAAAGAGGGAATCCTCTCTAACTCATTTTATGAGGCCAGCATCATCCTGAAACCAAAGCCTGGCAGAGACACAACAACAACAAAAAAGAATTTTAGACCAATATCCCTGAGGAACATCGATGTGAAAATCCTCAATAAAATACTGGCAAACTGAATCCAGCAGCACATCAAAAAGCTTATCCACCTCAATCAAGTGGGCTTCATCCCTGGGATGCAAGGCTGGTTCAACATACGCAAATCAGTAAATGTAATCTATCACAGAAACAAAACCAAAGACAAAAACCACATGATTATCTCAATAGATGCAGAAAAGGCCTTTGACAAAATTCTACAGCCCTTCATGCTAAAAACTCTCAATAAACTAGGTATTGATGGGACATATCTCAAAATAGCAAGAGCTATTTATGACAAACCCACAGCCAATATCATACTGAATGGGCAAAAACTGGAAGCATTCCCTTTGAAAACTGGCACAAGACAGGGATGCCCTCTCTCACCACTGCTATTCAACATAGTGTTGGAAGTTCTGGCCAGGGCAATCAGGCAGGAGAAATAAATATAGGGTATTCAACAAGGAAAAGAGGAAGTCAAATTGTCCCTGTTTGCAGATGACATGATTGTATATTTAGAAAACCCCATCGTCTCAGCCCCAAATCTCCTTAAGCTGATAAGCAACTTCAGCAAAGTCTCAGGATACAAAATCAATGTGCAAAAATCACAGGCATTCCTATGCACCAACAACAGACAAAGAGAGAGCCAAATCATGAGTGAACTCCCATTCACAATTGCTTCAAAGAGAATAAAATACCTAGGAATCCAACTTACAAGGGATGTGAAGGACCTCTTCAAGGAGAACTACAAACCACTGCTCAATGAAATAAAAGAGGACACAAACGAATGGAAGAATATTCCATGTTCATGGATAGGAAGAATCAGTATCATGAAAATGGCCATACTGCCCAAGGTAATTTATAGATTCAATGCCATCCCCATCAAGCTACCAATGACTTTCTTCACAGAATTGGAAAAAACTTCTTTAAAGTTCATATGGAGCCAAAAAAGAGCCCACATTGCCAAGACAATCCTAAGCCAAAAGAACAAAGCTGGAGGCATCATGCTACCTGACTTCAAACTATACTGCAAGGCTACAGTAACCAAAACAGCATGGTACTGGTATCAAAACAGACATACAGACCAATGGAACAGAACAGAGCCCTCAGAAATAACACCACACATCTACAACCATCTGATCTTTGACAAACCTGACAAAAACAAGAAATGGGGAAAGGATTACCTATTTAATAAATGGTGCTGGGAAAACTGGCTAGCTATATGTAGAAAGCTGAAAATGCATCCCTTTCTTACACCTTATACAAAAATTAATTCAAGATGGATTAAAGACTTAAATGTTAAACTAAAACCATAAAAACCCTAGAAGAAAACCTAGGCAATACCATTCAGGACATAGGCATGGGCAAGGACTTCATGTCTAAAACACCAAAAGCAATGGCAACAAAATCCAAATTGAGAAATGGGATCTAATTAAACTAAAGAGCTTCTGCACAGTAAAAGAAACTACCCTCAGAGTGAACAGGCAACATACAGAATGGGAGAAAAATTTTGCAATCCACCCATCTGACAAAGGGTTAATATCCAGAATCTGCAAAGAACTTAAACAAATTTACAAGAAAAAATCAAACAACCCCATCAACAAGTGGGCGAAGGATATGAACAAACACTTCTCAAAAGAAGACATTTATACAGGCAACAGACACATGAAAAAATGCTCATCATCACTGGCCATCAGAGAAATGCAAATCAAAACCACAATGAGATACCATCTCACACCAGTTAGAATGGCGATCATTAAAAAGTCAGGAAACAACAGGTGCTGGAGAGTATGTGGAGAAATAGGAAAGCTTTTACACTGTTGGTGGGAGTGTAAACTAGTTCAACTATCGTGGAAGACAGTGTGGCAATTCCTCATGGATCTAGAACTAGAAATACCATTTGACCCAGCCATCCCATTACTGGGTATATACCCGAAGGATTATAAATCATGCTAGTATAAAGACACAGGCACAGGTATGTTTATTGTGGCACCATTCACAATAGCAAAGACTTAGAACCACCCCAAATGTCCATCAATGATAGACTAGATTAAGCAAATGTGGCACACGTACACCATGGAATACTATGCAGCCATAAAAAAGGATGAGTTCATGTCCTTTGTAGGGAAATGGATGAAGCTGGAAACCATCATTCTGAGCAAACTGTCACAAGGACAGTAAAACAAACACCGCATGTTCTCACTCACAGGTGGGAATTGAACAATGAGAACACTTGGACACACGGCGGGGAACATCACACACCTGGGCCTGTCATGGGGTGGGGGGACGGGGGAGGGATAGCATTAAGAGAAATACCTAATGTAAATGAGGAGTTAATGGGTGCAGCACAGCAACATGGCACTTGTATACATATGTAACAAACCTGCATTTGTGCACATGTACCCTAGAACTTAAAGTATTAAAAAAAAAGAAGCAAATTAAAAAGAAAACTAAAAAGAAAAACCTTGTTGTAGCCGGGGTTCACAACCAGATTGGCCTGGCTGTGATGTCTGGGCTCCTTCCACTATAGCATCTCTGCCTCTCTCATTATCATATGCTATTTACATTCAACCTTGGGGTGTGTAATTGAATAGTCTTGTGACTAGTGGCCCATGATGGAAAGGTAATATCCCTACATTCCCTCTAAAGATGTTTAAGCCATGATATGGCTGAACAACTGTAGTCAAAAATGGGTATTAAAAAAGTCAAATGATCTAATGTATATTGAAGTTTGAATAATTTGCAACATGTTAAATGATATTGAGAGGTTATTTCCATATCCGATGCAAAAGAATCATCAGCCCTGTTTGAGCCTGTTGATGACATTCCCTGTGGGTCATATTGCCCACATTTTTGAAATAGACAAGTGTGAACTTGTAAAGGTCTTAAATTCATTCATTTATTCCCTCATTCATTAATCCATTTGTTCAATCCATTTTATATTTATTAAGTTCCAACAATGTGCCAGCTACTATTGTAGGTAATGTGACTATAAAGACAGATGAAGCTGCTGTTTTCTCAGATTGTAGTCTGAGGTTTAAGCAGGGGCTCATGAACTGGTCTCATGTATGTTTTTAAAAGATCACTCTGGCTGCTAGGAGGAGAATGGGGCAAGAGAGGAGGGAGGTGGACTAGTTGGGAGTATTTTATTGTATTCTAGGCAAGGAATGATGGTAGCTTGGATCATCAAGGGTGAGAGAGGTGAAAGGGATATGAGGAGGTTGGGTTCAGGATACATTTTGAAGGAAAAGCCATTTGGCTTTTGCCAATAGACTGGTTGCGGGCAGTGAGAGAGGGCTGAAGATGATTCCCAGTTTTTTGACCCAAGCAGCTGGATGAATGCAAACACCTTTGTCCGTGTAGTGGAGCTGCGTGGGAACAACAGGCTTGGGAAGGAATGCAGATCAGTGTTCTGTTTTGGGGGCTTTATGTTTGAGATGTCCATCAGGCATATTCCTGTGGCCTTGTCCAGGTGTGGAGGCTGGGTGGGTCTGGAGCTCAGAAAAGTTCAGGCACTCCGTGCAATCGACTACCCCACCCCAGCTCACTCACAGGTAGATCAACTGGGACCAGAGCTAAGGTTTCTGGCCTCTTTCAGCCAGCAATGGGTTGACTGTACATCACGTGGACCTGGAGGAGACACACATGGTTTCTCTAGTGTGTGCTCCCGAGAGGCATCCAATCCCCTAGTGTCCCTCCTACAGAGGAAACCCTCCAGGCAGAGGACATGGCTCCTAGGGCTCCAAGAGGCAGCCCCAGTGGCCAACTAGAAGAGGTTTTGATCTGCAGACAACCTATTAGGTTACTTAACTTCCCCACCCCCACTGCCTATGCCTGTGGTTGGTAATAATAGTAAATACTTTACTTAGAACAGCCAGGCACTGTTCTAAGCACTTTAATGTATTATCTTGTTAATCTTCAGTCCCTCCCACATGGAATGCACTGTTACTATCCCCATTTGATACTGAGGCACAGAGTGGGTATAGAACACGTGGCCGCAAGGCTGGCCTGGCCTCTGAGCCGCTGGTGCCAATGGGCTTCCCTTCCTCATTCCTGCTCCTGCTGTTCCTCCGAAGCCCCTTTCCCTTCCTTGCTAAGCCTGGCACAGTGACGGGGTTTCTGCTTAGCCCTCAGGGCCTGCTTATTCTCCTCTGACACCTGTAGAGCTGAGGGAGCACCAGCCTGGCTCTCTGCTTTGGGGTCTTCAGTCAAGTGCTATTTAGAAAAGGTGGGGCCCCCTTCTAGCTTGACCTCTGAAGCACCCTGGTAATCCCCAGAGAACTTACTGAACAAAGCCCGACAAAGGAAGGTCCAAATCATGGGAAGAGAAAGCCTCATGGTTCTTAGTACTGGGTACAGCAAGTCCCCTGGATTAGGGCAAAAGCTGCCCAACAAATCTACTTGTTTTTGCTGTGTTTGATCAAATCTTCTTTTGGGGCATTTAGTGAGGTTTAAACATTTTCTCTATATCCTTGTACACTTTTTGTTAAGCTCATTGCTAGTATCTTTATCTTTTTTTTATTTTTTATTTTTTTGAGATGGAGTCTTGCTCTGTCACTCAGGCTGGAGTGTAGTGGCACCATCTCAGCTCATTGCAACCTCCATCTCCCAGGTTCAAGTGATTCTCTTGCCTCAGCCTCCTGAGTAGCTAGGATTATAGGCACATGCCACCATGCCTGGCTAATTTTTGTATTTTTAGTAGAGACGGGGTTTTGCCATGTTGGCCAGGCTGGTCTTGAACTCCTGACCTTAGGTGATCCACTCGCCTAAGCCTCCCAAAGTGCTGGGATTACAGGTATGAGCTACTGTGCCTAGCTAGTATTTTATCTTTTATGTTGCCACTTAAATATAAAAAAATTCTACAGTACCTGCTAACTGGTGGTTGTTTATATATATGAAAACTATAGGTTTTGTATACTTACTTTGCATCCAACCAGGGTATTGAACTCTTTTTTGTAAACAGTGGATTTTCAGGGATGAAATAGATCTATCGTGTTGAGAAGTATTCATATACTCCTACTTTACTGTGTGTTTTTATGAAGATTGGCTTATCAGTTTTGTCAAATGCTGTTTCAGCATCTATGAACATGATTATATGATTTTCTCTTTAGAGCTATTAAGATAAATTATGTTAATAGCTTTTCTAATATTGAGTAGTCTGAGCATTCCAGGAATAAATTCCACTCTGTCATGATGTATTCATTTTATTTTTTATTTTTAAATTTTATTTATTTTTTGAGACAGAGTTTCGCTCTGTCACCCAGGCTGGAGTGCAGTGGCACAACCTCGGCTCACTGCAACCTCTGCCTCCTGGGTTCAAGTGATTCTCCTGCCTCAGCTGCCCAAGTAGCTAGGACTTCAGGTGCATGCCACAATGCCTGGCTAATTTTTGTATTTTTAGTATAGACGGGGTTTCACCATGTTGGCCAGGCTGGTCTCGAACTCCTCAAGTGACCTCAAGTGATCCACCTGCCTTGGCCTCCCAAAGTGCTGGGATTACAGGTGTGAGCCACCGTGCCCAGCCATGTCTTAGTTTTAAATGAGTTGTTGGGTTTAGAATTGATGCCCTTATATGAGACTGATTTATAGTTGGTTTGTTTTGTATACACTTAGACAGAATTTTTTTTCATTATTATGTTGGCTTTATAGAAAGAATTTGAAAAATTACCTCATTTTTTCATGCTCTGAAACAGTTTGCATTATTAGAATTCTGTTCTTTGAGAGTCTGATAGAGTTCCTCTACTTTTTGATGCTACTTTTAGGAGAGTCAATTCTCAGAATTTTCTCTTTTTCTTATAGAATAGACCTGTCTTGATTTTTCTCTTTCTTCTGAGTTAGTTTTATTGTTATATTTTTCCTAGAAAACTGTTCATTTCATTCATATTAATAAGTGTGGTTCTCTTAATTGCCTCTGTATCCATGGCTACTATCCTATAATTGGTTATTCTGTGTATACGTACTTTTGTCCTTTCTTTCCTCACTGGCTAGTTAGTGGTTTGTTGCATGTTGCGTTCCCCAGGGGAGAGGACTCCGAGGGGGAGCTGAGTGTACAAATATTTATCAGAGAATGCAGCTGGAATAAAAACCCGTGAAATGGAGGGGAAGGAAGCAGGAGAGAACAGAAGGAGAAGTCTTGCTGTGATGCAGTTCCAATAAACCTCTGGTGACATCCTGGGCAGCTCTGGAACTAGAATAGCCCATCACTGTTGTTTTCCATTAGGCTGGAATGTCCAGGCTTCTGTTCCTGCTTTGAACAGCTAGTGGAGACATCACTCCAGAAAGGGGTGCAACTTTGAGTGAGGGTCTATCTGCAGCACAGCGTAGGGGAGCGAAAATCAACTTCCCGCCACCCTTCTTGGTGCCTTGGCTGGGCTATGAATTAAACGAACATAAAACAGATCAACAGGAGGAAATTGTATTTAATTATGTGCACATGCTGGGGAGTCCTATAAAATATGAGACTAGAAGGGTCCAATGATTGAAGCTTAGACAATATCTTGAACTACAGGATGGAGGGGGAAGCTTATACGGCATATTAGTCCATCTTGCACTGCTATAAATAAATACCTGAGACTAGGTATTTATAGAGAAAAGAGGTTTGATTTTATTGCTTTTATTTGTATTTATTTCTTCTGTTTTCTTTTGAGTCAGATGCCTAATTCATATGTTCCTTTTTCTTTCATGTTTATTTTTATAAATATTTTTAAGGTTATTTATTTTCCTCTGAATATGACTTTAGCTGTATTCCATAGGTTCTGACACATCTTGGTTATTTTTTTCCTAGAAAGTCTGCAGTTTTTGTTTGTGTTTTTTCAGACCTTAAACCTCTTAATTTGTTTAAGAGTTTTTTAAAATCTGCAGATGAAAGGAACTTTTTGTTTTCTGATTGTTACTAATTTCTAATTTTATTGCCTTTGACTAGAAAATGTTATATGTACTGTTTCTAGTGTAAACCAAAAATAAAATTCTAAGCCCCCTGATATGGTTTGGATCTGTGTCCCCATTCTGTAACAACCCAATCCAGGCAGGATGGGCCATCCAGAAATGGCCCAGATCCTTCAGGAATTAAGGTTTTGGTCACCCTACTGCGGGTACCAGTTTTCTATATTAGACTGTTCTCACAATGCTATAAATACCTGAGACTGGGTAATTTATAAAGAAAAGAGTATTAATTGGCTGATGGTTCTGCAGGCTTTACAGGAAGTGTGGCACCAGCATCTGCTCAGCTTCTGAGGAGGCTTCAGGGAGCTTTTACTCATGGTAGGAACTGAAGCAGGAGCAGGCACTTCACATGGCAAAAGCAGGAGCAAGGGGTAGGGGAAGGTACCACAGGCTTTTAAACAACCAGCTCTCATGAGAACTCCCTCGCTCATCACCAAGGGGATGGGCTAAGCCATTCACGAGGAATGTGCTCCCGTCATCCAAACTCTTCCACCAGGAGGTGGGAATTACATCTCAACATGAGATTTGGTGGGAGCACAGGTCCAAACACCCAACCAACTGAATGGACTGCACCCTCTTGGATAAGGGGATCCCAAAGAAACTTCACAAATTAGTTCAGACCATGATGGGAAAGAGGTTGGCTCTGCCTCGTTATACCCTCCTCCCTTCTGGAGTTTCCGCACAACTGATTAGCATTGACATTAGAGATCATAAGACTGATAAAACAGACTCTTTGTAGCAATAAGATACCAAACTCCAACCTGATTCTGGTATAGCATCACATGACAGATAACAGGCCCTAAAGGAAATCAAAATATTTTACCCCAAAATATATTTCTTTGACATATTTTGGAATGGCCCTAAAAAGCCATCTCTTGTGGGAGAAATTTGCATTCTGTAGAGTGTCTGTCTCTTTCCCTTACTAGATCTTTTCCAGAGTCTGACACTTTTTAAAGTCTGAAAAGAGACATTTACCATCTATTCTCTCTGAAGCTTGCTATGTGGAGCCTTCGTTTACATAAAAAGAACCTTGGCTGCCACAACTCAAGCATTTCCTTCTGCTGACTTCAACTCTCTAGGCAAATCTTAACTCTTTCAACCAACTGCCAATCAGAAAAATCTTTGACTCCACTTACTTATGACCTGTACGTCCCATCCCGGCGCTTCGAGATATCCCACCTTTTCTGGCTGAATGAATGTACAACTTTACATATATTGATTTTATTGATTTATGTCTTTTCCTGTAACTTCGGTGTCCCTAAAATATATAAAACTAAGCTGTAACCTGACCACCTTGGGCTCATGTTCTCAGAACCTCTTGAGGCTTGGTTCAGAATAAACCTCTTCAGGCCTGGCGAGGTGCCACCTGTAATCCCAGCACTTTGGGAGGCAGAGGTGGGTGGATCCCTTGAGCTCAGGAGTTCAAGACCAGCCTGGCTCACATGGCGAAACCTTGTCTCTACAAAAAAATACAGAAATTAGCTGGGCTCGGTGGCACACTACTGTAATCCCAGCTACTCGGGAGACTGAGGTGGGAGGACCACTTGAGCCTGGGAGGTTGAGGCTGTAGTGAGCCATGATCATGCCACTGAACTTCAGCCTGGGTGACAGAATGAGGCCCTATCTCAAGAAAAAAAAAAAAGAATAAATCGCTTCAAATATTTTATAGAATTTGTTTTTTTTGGGTTAACACTAGTATTTGTAATTTTTGAGGTTTCCTTTGTGGACTTAATATATGATCAATTTTTGTGAAAGTACCATAGGTGCTTGGAGAGGCATATTTTTAATTTTTAGGATACACAGTTTGATGTATATTAATTCAAATGTACCTTATCAATTATTTAAGTATTCTATATCTTATTTATTCTTTGCTCCACTTAATGCTTTTTGGCTCTTATTCTAGCTTATTTTGTATTTAAGATGATGGCCTCTGCTTTTTTTGTTTGTTTGCATCTGCTTTGTATATCTTAGCACAAACTTCCATTTCCAACCTTGCTACATATATTTTTTCAGGTGTGTATTCTGATTGTTGCAAAGAGGTAGATTTTGTTTAGTGATCCAATCTGAACATCTTTTTATTTTAATAAGTAAATTAAGCCATTTATATTACTGATGTGACAGATACGTTGGGTTTAGTTCTGACATTCTAATTTATGCGATATTTTCTGTATTTAGAAAAGTCTTTTTGCTGTATTTTTTTTCTTTGCATTAGTTCTCTGTCTAGTACTTCTGACGTTTAGAAAGGTATCTATTTTTGTTTTGTTCATAAAAAATAATTCATAATTATACTTTTATTTAATACCCTTAAGTCCTTTATTTATTTCAAAAATACCTACTAATTCCTTAACATGAGAAGTGATAACATTAGCATGCTTCCTTTTACTTCCCCTCCCCTTCTTCTTCTTTTTTTTTGTTTTGTTTTTTTGTTTGTTTGTTTTTTCTTTTTTTTTTTGCTCTGTTGCCCATGCTGGAGTACAGTGGCATGACCATGGCTCTCTGCAGCCTCTACCTCCCAGCTCAAGCAATCCTTCCACCTCAGCATCCCAAGTAGCGGTAGCTAGAACCATAAGCATGCACTACCATGCCCGGTTAATTTTTAAATTTTTTTGTAGAGCCGGGGTCTTGCTATGTCACCCAAGCTTTGGCGTCCCAAAGTGTTGGGATTACAGGCATGAGCCACCGCTTCTTTATCCCTTGGTTTTTGTCAAGGTTCTCTTTCTTAACATTTCTTTTGAACTGTTACATATGCTTATATGTCTACCACTTGTTACATTTTAAATAATATCTTTGAGTCCCTTTTTTACAGATGAAGCCATCTGTGAACCTAATTGTCCCCCTAACTGCTTTCCCTCTTTCTCATTCTTCATTGTATAATTTTTACATTGTCATGAATAATTACATTTAATATTCCATCCAGTAGCATTTTCTCTGACATGAGGTGTTTCATTTCAATACACAAATTTAAGACTCAGAAGTGATTCTCTGAATTTTACCTTTAAATGTTCTTCCATTTCATTCTCTTGACCTCCTCTCCTCTCCTCTCCTCTCCTTTCTTTTTTTGACGGAGTATTTTTTTTGCTCTTGTTGCCCAGACTGGAGTGCAATGGTGTGATCTCGGCTCACTGCAACCTCCGCCTCCCGGGTTCAAGCGATTCTCCTGCCTCAGCCTCCTGAGTAGCTGGGATTACAGGCATGCACCACCACGCACAGCTAATTTTGTATTTTTAGTAGAGACGGGGTTTCTCCATGTTGGTCAGGCTGGTCTTGAACTCCTGACCTCAGGTGATCCACCTGCCTCGGCCTCCCAAAGTGCTAGGATTATAGGCATGAGCGACCATTCCCACCCTCTTTCTTCTTTCTTAATTTTTTATTTTTATTTATCTCATCCTAACTCTCGTTTCTTCTTCCAATTAAAAGTATTTTGAATTTCTTCCATATGTTCTCTATGTCTATCATTGTTTTCTCTAATCCTTTTTAGTTATGCCTTTGTTTCCATTTTATCTTATTCTCTTTTAATTTTTATCTTTAGTGTCCTTATTATGATTTTTTAAACTTTTATTTAGGTTCAGGGGTCCATGTGCACGTTTGTTATGTAGGTAAGCTCATGTCATGGGGGTTTGTTGTACAGATTATTTCATCATGCAGGTACTAAGCCTAGTACCCAAGAGTTATTTTTGCTGATCCTCTCCCTCCTCTCACCCTCTACCCTTAAGTAGTCCCCAGTGTCTGTTGTTTCTCTTTCTGTGTCCATGTGTTCTCATCATTTAGCTCCCACTTATACATGAGAACATGTGGTATTTGGTTTTCTGCTCCTGCATTAGTTTACTAAGGATAATGGCCTCCAGCTCCATCCATGTTCCTGCAAAGGACATAAACTCATTCTTTTTTATGGCTACATAGTATTCCATGGTGTATATGTACCACATTTTCTTTATTCAGTCTACCATTGATGGGCATTTAGGTTGATTCCATGTCTTTGCTATTCTGAATACTGCTGCAATGAACATTGCATGCATGTGTCTTTATGGTAGAACGATTTATATTCCTTTGGGTATATATCCAGTAACAGGATTGCTGAGTCAAATGGTAGTTCTGTTTTTAACTCTTTGAGGAATCACCACACTGCTTTCCACAATGGTTGAACTAATTTACACTCTTACCAGTAGTGCATAAGCATTCCCTTTTCTCTGCAGCTTCGCCAGCATCTGCTACATTTTGGCTTTTCACCAATAGCCATTCTGACTGGTTTAAGATGGTATCTCATTGTGGTTTTCATTTACATTTCTCTAATGATCAGTAATAATGAGCTTTTTTTTCATATGCTTGTTGGTTGTATGTATGTCTTCTTTTGAAAAGTGTCTCTTCAAGTTCTTTGCCTACTTTTTAATTGTTTTTTTTTCTTGTAAATTTGTTTAAGTTTCTTTTAGATGCTGGATATTATTAGGCCTTTGTCAGATGCTTAGTTTGCAAATATTTTCTCCCATTCTCTAGGTTGTCTGTTTACTCTGTTAGTTTCTTTTGCAGTGCAGAAGCTCTTAAGTTTAATTAGATGCCATTTGTCAATTTTTGCTTTTGTTGTAAAGACACTTTTGGCATCTTACTCATGAAATATTTGCCCATATCTATATCCAGAATGGTATTGCTTAGATTTTCTTCTAGGGTTTTTATAGTTTGGGGCTTTACATTTAAGTCTTTAATCCATCTTGACTTGATTTTTGTATGTGGTATAAGGAAGGGGCCCAGTTTTAATCTTCTGCATATGGCTGGTCAGTTATCTCAGCACTATTTATTGAACAGGGAGTCCTTTCCCCTATTATGTTTTTCTAAAATGCCTATGTTCCCTGTGCTCCTTTCAAGTTTTGCTTTTTTCCCGCTGATATTTTCCCAGATTTCACTAGCTCAAATTTTATCTGCTCCTGAAGTCTCTTCATCTCTATTTCTTACATTTGTTCTTTTTCTTTTTTCTTTTCTTTTTTTTTTCGAGACAGGGTCTTACTCTGTCACCCAGGTTGGAGTGCAGTGGTGTGATCTTGGTTCACTGCAGCCTCCCCACCCGGGCTCAAGCAATTCTCCCACCTCAGCCTCCTGAGTAGCTGGGATTATGGGTGTGTACCATCACTCCCGGCTAATTTTTAATTTTTCATTTTTTGTAGAGATGGGGTTTTGCTATGTTTCTGAGGCTGGTACCGAACTTCTGGGCTCAAGTGATTCTCCTACCTCAGCCTTCTGTTCTTTTCCTTTGTAGAAGCAATTACTTCATTAGTTATTTTAATCCTTAACAAAATATTTTCTCATGATTTCCATCTATTTCATGGTAACATTTTCCAATAGTGATTTTATCTTTTGGCAAGTTTTACTGCTCTTTTTCATCTATTTTTTTTCTTATGGTACCTTTGTATCAGTATTCTGTTAGTTTCTTTCTTTATTTTTATTTTATTTTATTGTTTTTGAGACAGAGTCTGGCTGTGTCGCCCAAGCTGGAGTGCAATGGTGCAATCTCGGCTCACTGCAACCTCTGCCTCCCAGGTTCAAGCGATTCTCCTGCCTCAGCCTCTCGAGTAGCTGGGACTACAGGTGCATGCCACCACGCTGGCTAATTTTTCGTATTTTTTAGTAGAGACGGGGTTTCACCATGTTGCTGGTCTCAAACTCCTGACTTCAGGTCATCTCCCCACCTCGGCCTCCCAAAGTGCTGGGATTACAGGCGTGAGCCACTGCACCTGGCTGGTTTCGTTATTATTACTTACTTTGAATGATACGCATTTTTGTGGAAGCTGTTTGCAGGAGATTCTTCTGGGGCAGAGGAGCAGGAACTTTTCAGGCTTTATAAACCAAAGGCTCTTTACTATCTGCAAATATGGCTCATCTGGGTGATTCTTTGTGTCATCCATTTCTACTGTTTCTCTGACCAAACCAGACCTGGGAGGTCATCACTAGCCTTGCTTATCCCAGTTTCTGTACAAAAATTAGCAATTATTATTGTAAAATTACAATTACTATTGTAAATAAGAGATAGAGTTTTGCACTTTGGGTGAGCTCCTCCCTTGCAAGAAGAGTACTTTATGGTACTTAGATCTGACACCATTGAACTCTCTTGCAAATCTCTGTATTTCTTGTCTTTACTTTCTGCCTGTTGTTAACTGCTTTGTGGCACCTTTTAGCATATATACATACACTTTTTCAGCCTTTTTTTTTTTTTTTTTTTGAGATGGAATCTCACTCTGTTGCACAGGTTGGAGTGCAGTGGCGTGATCTTGGCTCACTGCAACCTCTGCCTCCCAGGTTCAGGCAAGTCTCCTGCCTTAGCCTCCCAAGTAGCTGGGATTACAGGCGCTCGCCACCACACCTGGCTAATTTTTGTATTTTTAGTAGAAACGGGGTTTCACCATGTTGGCCAGGTTGGTCTCGAACTTCTGACCTCAGGTGACCCGCCCACCTTAGCCTCCCAAAGTGCTGGGATTACAGGTGTGAGCCACCACACCTGTCCCTTTTAGCATATTTTGATGTCTGCGAACTGTATTTATCTCCTAGTATAGCTGAAATTGAGTTTGTGGTTTTTTTTTTATTCTTTTTATTGCTTCTGTATAATTTCCAGGAGAAGGAAAAAGATGCTGATTTGCATAACTGTGTTTATGTCAGACATTCTGAAGAATGACCTTCTTAAAATAAAAACCAGATCATGTCATTCCCAGCTTAAAATCCTTTGGTGACTTCACACTTAATATAGAGTAAAATCTAAATTTCTTCCCAGTACTAATAAGTCTCGTGTGATGGTCTATGTTTATTTCTGTTTATCTCTCCAACCACACCTTAAATCTGTCTCATGTACAACATGCTCCAGCCACACTGGCTTTCTTGGGGCCTTTAGAATATGCCTGGTTCCTGCCCACTTTAGGGTCTTTGTCCATTAAACACTACTTTTGTCCTGCCTGCTCTGGTCCCAGAATTCTTTACATTATTAGGTCCATCTCATTCTATAGGACTGATCTTAAATAACACATTTTCTGAGATGCCTTCCCTGTCTACTCTCTCCTGGCCCTTGCTTGCTTCTTTCATAGCACTTAAAATTTATTTATCTTTCTCTTTCCCTTCTTCCCTCCTTCTCTCCCCCTTTCCTATATTTCTTTTCTTTCCTTATTACTCCCTCCCTTCCTCCCTCCCTCCTTCCCTTCTTTCTTCCTTCCCTCCTTCCCTTCTTCCTTCCTTCCTCCCTCCTTCTTTCCTTTTCTTTCTTTCTTTTTATATTTTAGAAGTACAGTGCAGGAACAGTGATTATCTTGTTCTTCCTTTAACTTCAATACCTAACACAATGCCTGTTCATAATAGGTACTAAGAGATGTGTGTTAAAGCAATGAGTACATTATTGAATGAATAAATGAAGATCGTTTTCACACATGGGAGTCATATTTTAACAGGGAACTTGATAGAGTCTGTTGTTTACAGTGGAGAGCAAATATAGGTTGGAAAAGGATCTGGAGACCCTTTCTTGGAAGGGTTGGCTGTAGGAACAAGAAATATTTTGTTTTGGAAAAGGAAAAGTTTGGGGATGGATAGTAATAGCCTTCAAATATAGGAAGATTAATCTTGCAGAAAAGCATTTTCACCGCAAGAATCATCTAAGGAGCTTGTTAAAAATATGGAATCCCAGCTGGGCACCATGGCTCATGCCTGTAATCCCAGCACTTTGGGAGGCCAAGGTGAGTGGATCAACTGAGGTGGGGAGTTTGAGACCAGGTTGGCCAACATGGTGAAACCCTGTCTCTACTAAAATACAAAAAAAATTAGGCATGGTGGTGGGTGCCTGTAATTCCAGCTACTTGGCTACTTGAGAGGCTGAGGCAGGCGGATTGCTTGAACCCTGGAGGCAGAGGTTGCAGTGAGCCGAGATTGTGCCACTGCACTCCAGCTTGGGTGACAGAGTGAGACTCCATCTCAAAAAAAAAAAAAAAAAAAAAGAAGAAGAAGAAAAAGAAAAAGGAATCCCAGGGCTTTCCCTGTATTTGATTTGCTGGGTATGATGTAGGACTAGAGAATATTTTGTTTGTTCTGTTTTTTTAACAAGCACCCAGGTATTTTTTAAGAAAATGGTGGGAAATGCCATTTTATAAGTGGTATAGTTGTCACTGTGGGAAAAACTAGGACTCATGGGCTCAAATTATAGGGAGGCAGACTTGGACTCAACAGAAGGCGATTGTTTCAAACTAGAAGGGTCGCCAAGTGGATGAGGCTGTCTCCCTGCCTGGATTCCAGGAGAGCCCTTCAACCTTCCAGGGGCTAATCCTATAGTAAGTGAATGAGATTCATACGTAAATGGCTGAAATCTTGGGTTCAAGGAAGTGCAAAGTCTTTCAAATGCTTGGGGATAGCAGTTATTGCAAGAGTGGGAAAAGGTAGCAAACAACGAGTAAACAAAACACAAAAACCACACACACATAAAAATAAGGGAATGCTGGGGAAAAGGGAAACAAAATAGTGGATGTAATTAAACCCTCATAACTTTACTGTGAAGCATGTTTAAAAAAAATTAAACCCTCGATGGTCTTGAAGAGCAGAGGAAATCACATTTTTAATATACTTAGAACCATGGGATAAACAACAAGATTGATGAAGTGAACTGCAGTCTCAGTTATTAACTCGATTAACTTAAAGTGCAAGGGCCTTAGCAATTAGCATGCAGAATCATCTTGCGTTTGCAAGTAAAAAATTATGAGGAAATGGACTGTGAAGCGGAGGTCTCAGGGCTGCAGGAGATGAACTGGCCAGAGCAGATTCATCTGTAGTCAGTAATGCCCCCAGCAGCTTTGAAGGGGGAGGGAAGCTTGTGGCCACTTCCGACCTCCAGGTGGCAAGTCAGATGCAAAAGGTCTGATTTGTTTCTGGATCTCGTTGCAGGCTGCTATAGAATTGGAGGCTGATTCTAGAAACTCACTCTAGACAGGCCTGAGGGGGGCTCAGAAAGTTAGGAGTGATCATTATTATTGTTTCTGAATATTTATTAAGTCCCTTATATATTATTTAATTCTCATAAAAATCCTGAAAGAAGGATTTAATCATCCCCATTGTCTATTGAAGAAACTGAGGCTCTGAGAGATTGTATAACTTGCCACCCAAAACATAGTTATTCCCTTAATAAATGCTCACTGAGTATTTCCTAGGGGCTAACAAGTGAAAGATCTTGGATTTGAATCTTTACCTAACTCTAAACTGCATACCCTTTCTTTTAAACAAAGGATTAACTTTAATATTAACTAAAATGCCATTACAAACCTGTAAGAAAATTTCCAGTAATTCAAAAGAAATTGGCAAATGGCATGCATAGGCAGTTCACACAAAAAAATTAATATAATGAATGGGGTGTAAAATTGTAAAGACATTGCAGTAAAAGGAATGCAAGAAACAAGCAATGGCATATTTGTTGAGGGATATGTAAGCTAGTGTATCCTCTTTGAAGCTAAGCTTGGCAATATCTATGAGAATTTTAAATGCCCATTCTATTTGGCCCAGAGAATCTACTTGCTTATGTATATATACATATATATATATATATATATATATGGAAATAAGGAAAGGTATATCTCTGGAGACACTCATTTTAGTGTTGTTTGTAAGAGCAAAGGACTAGAAGCAACCCAAATGATCTTCAATTGGGGAATTATTTTAAATAAGTCATGGTAAAACATAAAATGAAAAAAAAATTACAAAGCCCACATTTAATTACTGGATGAGCCCACCTCTCAAAAATGATGGGGAGAGTCAGTGATAGTCATGGCACCTTATAGAGAGATGTAAAACTTTGTATTTCTTGATCATTTGCAAATATACTATTTATCTGGAGCCTTTCAGCAACTCTGAGAAGCAGACAGAGCAGGTATTATTCCATCCTATACATAGACAAGGAGTTGTCCACTATAATGGTGAGAAATGACAGAGGCCTAGAATGCAGCTTTGGGGACTCTGCCCAGTGCTCTTCACGACACCAGCATTGGGAAAATAGGCATCTGTGGAGGGAGTGTCACCTTCCTCTGGAGAAGGGATAAGATCAAGGAATCATTGTTTAAGTTGATAGGGAGAGGCCCCTTGGGATAGAGTGGCTTGCTCAGCTAGCAGAATAGTTTATCTAGCTCCTGGTGAGCCTACTCTTTCCTCCCACCTTGGGGAGCAGACAGCTCTGGGCAAAAGACACTGAACACTCTCACCACTGTTCCTGGATGACCAAAATAAAGGTAATTCTTATAGCAGATACCTCCATTGTGGTACTTGTCCCTTTGAATACTCACAGAGGCTCAAACCTGACTTTTCTATCTTAAGACCAAATAGAGAGCAGGCGAGTAAAACTGAATCAACCTTGAAGTGAGGAAGTCATGGAGATCGTCCTGTGGTTTTAGGCCTCAAAGCGAAAGAATCTCATCCTGTTTTCTTCTGTGGTAGGGTTTCAAGTCCTAGTGGCCCATTGGACTCATCTGGAAGAAGTGATATTTTAGAGCTGGTTCATATTAGCTCATGAAAACCATTCTGAAATTTTCAGAAATTTTGTGAACCAATGGTTGAACCCACCATTATTAAAAAGTATATACACGTATAATTAAATTATTTTAAAAACAAGTAATAAATACTCAAAACTCATTACTTCCTGATTATTTTATGCTTATCTATGCTCTTGAGATTATGTACTTATATCTACTGTATGTGTGTGGTGGAAACACTACCTAATGGTATACAACTGCTCATCTCTTCCCAATTCCTGTGCTCAGTGATGTCACATCGTTAACTTAAAATTGACCATGGTGGGGGTATTTACACCATGGAAATGGGCAAATTCTACAACTAAAGCCTGATTTATCATCTTCTTGATTGTCTGGGCTTAAGAAAGTTATGAAAAAATATAAATAATGCAGATTAAACTAAAAGTATGCCTTGCCTGTAACCATTACCTTGTGAATAGCACAAAAAGTTGAGAAAATATTCCTCTATTATTCAAAATCATTATTTGCTTCAGCAAAGAGTTACTCTTGTTATTGACAAGTAAAAAATTCTGACATAGTTTTACATGTTTCACTTTCATTTTTCTCATTAACACAAATGAAAATATCAACCAACAGTTATGTCCGAACTACACTCACTTATCATTTGCAGACATACTTATGGGTATAAGAGTTTAGTAAAAATCAGTGATGGCATTCTGTGAGAATCTTTTGGCTAAATGGCATCCATAATAAAGAGTATTATATATTTTACTTTTTTTCTTTTGAGATGGAGTCTTGCTCTGTCGCACAGGCTGGGGTGCAGTGGTGCGATTTCAGCTCACTGCAACCTCCGCCTCCGGGTTCAAGCAATTCTTCTGCCTCAGCCTCCCAAGTAGCTGGGACTACAGGTGTGCGCCACCATGCCTGGCTAATTTTTTTTTTTTTGTATTTTTAGTAGATACGGGGTTTCACCATGTTGGCAAGGATAGTCTTGATCTCTTGACCTCGTGATCTGCCCGCCTTGGCCTCCCAAAATGCTGGGATTACAGGTGTGAGCCACTGCGCCTGGCCTATTTTACTTTTATATGCAAATTGTGTGCAACACATCTTTTATATCACTAGAATTTATAATAAACATATATGTATGAACATACAGATTTTTTTTCTTTTGGAAAGCTAGCTATTAAACATTACCACCACACCACTACTACCTGGGAACTTTACAAATCATTCATATCTGGATCCAACCCCCAAATTTCCTGATGTAACAATTACATCAGCCTCATGATTTTAATGTGTAGCCAAGGCTGAGAACTAGTGCTCCAGGGATTTTTCAAAACTGAATTCTAGAAATTCTAGGTTAGATTATTGGACTAAGATTGGCTTCACAGGAGATACTGATCTCCTTCCTAGACACAGGTGGCTATGGGGAAGCTTTATCCTCTGACATGCAGCCAGGCCATTTTTGAATAGGGACGTGCATGCACCCTGCCTTCAAAAAGATTCCAGCTTTTGGAGGCAAGGAGAGAAGGCTGACATAAATGAAATGTGGTAGATAACATAGAGCTTAACAAAACTCAGCTCCAGATTATGGGAAAAGGAGGAAAGTGTGAGGATAGGTTTGTCACAGGCACCAAGTTGGCAATAGTAGACCATCAAAGATCTCATTGAAGGAGGCCAGAACTAGACTAGTGCCAAACTTAACATGATTGTACTTCTAACAATTAATAAGACACATTGCACTACCTACATACTGAGTCATTTTTTTATTTTCCTGAAAAAATTACACACACACACACACACACAACCCCATTCATGGATGCTAGAGGCAGAAATATCGATCTTTTAGAGGGAATCTCTGCCTAAATAGGTAGTTTAATCTTTCTCATAAAGAGTCTCTTATTTTTTTCCCCCTGTGTTTTTCAATTATTCTTCTTGTACACTGTATTTCTTCCTATCGATTCCTTTCTCTGATCTTAATGGCCTCTTACTCATTGAAAAAAGAGTGACTGCTATTTCTTCCCAAGTCTCCTCAGAGCCAGCTGAATGCCAAAAGTCTGGCCAATTATCCCAGATTGAGGGTCTCAGAAAGGTAGAAAACCAGAGAGAGAGGCTGCAAGGAGATATAAAGCAAAGAGAGTGGTCAAAGAGTCAGTATATGCCATGCTCTTCTAATCAAACTGGGATGTAATTCAAAGAGATCTGCTGATAGATTAAAGCCTATGAGGGATAGTTGAGAGGGTGGTAAAAATATTCCTATTCCCTCCTTCACAAATCTTATCTGCCTTGAAGTCCATCACAGGATACTGCAGGGAGACCAGTGGAAAATGCAAAGCAGCCTGGATTGTTCTATAATCATTCTCTACTTTCTATAATATATTTAGGTTGATTTCAGTTCTAGACACACTTTGGGTATTTTAAGGGGTGAGGATTAGAGCAAGAAATTGGAAAGATCTAAAACCAGAAACCCTGTAGTCCCAGCACTTTGTGAGGCTGAGGCAGGTGGATCTCCTGAGGTCAGGAGTTCGAGACCAGCCTGGCCAACATGGTGAAATCCCAACTCTACTAAAAATACAAAAATTGCCAGGCACGGCGTCATGCACCTGTAGTCCCAGCTACTCAGGAGGCTGAGGCAGGACAATCGCTTGAACTGGGGAGGCAGAGGTTGCAGTGAGTTGAGATCGTACCACTGCACTCCAGCCTGGGCAACAGAATGAGACTTTGTCTCAAAAATAAATAAACAAACCCCCCCAGAAACCTGTGATAGAGGCTACTACTTATTCCCCTATTCATTAATTCTCTTCTTCCTTAATGCAGCCAACATTTCTTAACTGGGCAAATCATTAGCTGGAATAAAGCTTGCTCCGCAGTTTGTTGAGACCTTTTGATGAAATTCTGACTGATAAGAAATAAGTGGGAACATTATGTGAGATTTCTAGGAAGTGTTTTTAAATGGAAGGATGCCTTCTTGGTCCCTTCCTCCTCCTTGCTGGCTGAAATACAGACATAACTAGAAAGTTGAAAATGATTTTGGACCACTGAGAATGGTGAAGAGCAAGTGGAAGGAGCCAGAGTTCCAGTTCTAGGTAAGATGGAGTAGACGCACTGTACTTTGTCTCTCCCGCTGAATGCTACTTTAAAACTTTCACAGAATACTTGAAACTGATATTTGAGGACTCTGAAAAGTGAATGATAGCAGGCAGGTTAGGGAAAATGAGAAGAAATTCAAAGTATCACATAATCAGTGATGACTTTACCCCCCTCTTTTACCTCTCTTATCCCCCAGGCTAGACTACTCAAGGCAGCCCAAACCATAAGTGGGCAGCCAGACGTGAAAACAAGCTTTAGGAGAAGCACTCCAGTATTGGCTTGAAGAGTGAGAATGGGGATTCCTAAAGTATTGAAACTCACCCCCCATTTCTCTTCGTTTTCTCTATTCTGTTGCATCCTGACCCCAGGACAATCCTGCAATGGTAATAGCAGTAATAGGGTAGCAGAGACATGCAAACACCTAAAACTCTGAGAGAGGAGAACTTTCCTCTCAGATTGTGGGGGTGTGGTCCCAAAAATGTAAGGTAAACCTCTGTTTTGCTTTTTCTCTCCATCTTTCCACAACTTGATCTTTGTCATAGGCTCAGTTGTGGGAAATATTCAGCAGAGTGGAATAAAAAGCCCCAGCTTTCTGGCCAGAAGACCATAAAGGGGAACCCCAGGGAAGCAGAAAGTATCAGAGATATCATGAGAGCTCAGAGATATCATGAGAGCTCCTACTTGGGAAAGAAACCCCATAAAGCTCCTGGGTTCACCCTCAAGTTGTATGTATGTGGACCTCTCCCTAAACAGCATACCACAGACTTGAGAAGTGAACCAGTGGATAGGCCACCACCCAAGTCTCAGACTGGTCACTGGGTGGCACACATGTCAGACAAATATGAACAGTGCAGGAAAGGGTTTGCAAATAGAGCTGTCACTGGAATTACATCTCACAGAAAGATAGTCAGAACTTGAGGCTTAAAGCCAAAGAGGTCTATTGCCTGGCAAAACAAAAATATAAATTTTTTCCATGGCATTTAAACAAGACTTGGGGTCTGATAACATAATAAGCAAAATGTCCACAATGCAATAAAAAATTATTTGGCCTACTAACAATCAGGCAATACAAAAATTAGCTAGGCATGTTGGCTCATGCCTGTGGTCCCAGCTACTCGGGAGGCTGAGGTGGGAGGATCACTGGAGCCCAGGAGGTCGAAGCTGCAGTGAACTACGATCGCGCCACTTCACTCAGCCTGGGGGACAGAGCAAGAGCCTGTCTCAAAACAAACAAACAAACAAACAAACAAAACCAATCAGACAAATCTCAATTTCTATCACAAAAGACAATCAACACACTAATTCAAAAATGACACAGATGTTGAAATTATCTGTCAAGAACTTTAAAGTAGCTATTACTTCCTGGATCATATTATATGCTCCAGGAACTAAGGGAAAACATTCTTGTAACGAATGGAAAGATAGAATGTCTCAGCAAATAAATAAAAAATATATTTTTTTTAAATGGACATTTTAGAACTAAAAAATATAATAACTGAAATAAAAAATTCACTGGGTGGATTTAACAGTAGACTCAAGATGACAAAGGTAAGAATCAATGAACTTGCAGATAGAGAAATAGAAGTTATTCAACATAAACTATACAGAGAAAAAAATTAACAGAGCCTCACAACCCTGTGGGACAACAACAAAAGGTCTACCATTTGTGGTGTCAGAGTTCTAGAATATAAGAATGCAGAAAAAAAATTTGAAAATATAGTGTCTGAAAACTTCTTAAATTTGTCCACAGACATAAACTTCAGATTCAAAAAGCTCAGTTAACCTCAGACAAAATTAACCAAAGAAACCTATGTCCGAATACGTCATAATCAAACTGCTGAGAACTGAAGACAAGGGAGAAAAATCTTAAAGGCATCAAGAAAAACAGCACATTACTTATAGTGGGAAATAACTCAAATGGCCATGAATTTTTCATTAGAGAGCATGGGCACAAGGAAGAAGGGGAACAAAATTGTTAAAGTGCTGAAAGAAAATAAGTGTCAACACAAAATTGCATTTTTGGAATAAAATCAAACTTGTTTATGTGGCAGCCTCATTTTTCTACTTTTCTGGGATTGATTTTTCTAATATTTTGTTTATTTTTTTTCAATCTTTGTTCATGAGACAGATTCCCTTATAATTTTATTTTCTTGTATTTTCCCTGTCTGGTATTGATATTAAGATTATATTAGCCTTATATTCCACATAGGGGAGTGTTCTCTTTTTTTCTATACTTGACTACTTGACTATAGCTTGCGAAAGATTGTTTTTCTTTTCTTTTTTTTTTTTTTTTTTTTTGCGATGGAGTCTCGCTCTGTCACCCAGGCTGGAATGCAGTGGCACGATCTCAGCTCACTGCAACCTCTGCTTCCTGGGTTCAAGCAATTCTCCTGCCTCAGCCTCCCTAGTAGCTGGGATTACAGGTGTGCACCACCATGCCTGACTAATTTTTGTATTTTTAGTAGAGATGGGGTTTCACCATGTTGGCCAGGCTGGTCTGGAACTCCTGACCTCAGATCATCTGCCCGCCTTGGCCTCCCAAAGTGTTGGGATTACAGGTGTGAGTCAACATGCCTAGCCAGTTTTTCAATTTGTATTTAAATTTATTTGGTAGAATAAATAAATATTAAAAGCTAGGAAGCCATATGGAGCTCAAGTTTTCTTTGTGGGATTTAAAAGATGGATTAAATTTCCTTAACAGTTTTAGGACATTCATATTTTTTATTTCTTCCTGAGGCAGTTTTGGTGTTATATTTTTCTAAGTAGTTACTCATCTAAATTTTCAAATGTATTGGTACAAAGTTGTTTATAATATCCTGTTTATCTTTTAAATGACTGCATCATCTAGATTAATATTTCCCTTTTTATTCCTAATATTGTTTATTTTGCATTTTATTTCTTTTCCTAGGAATCTTTCTAGAGATTTTTCAATTTTATGAGCCTTCAAGAAATCAACTTCTGCTTTTAATTCTATTCATAATTTCATCAATTTCTGGTTTATCTTTATTTTCTTTGTTCTATTGCCTTTGAAATTATTTCAATAATGTGATTATTTGGGAATCTGGCTCTGTAAATAGTAGGTGACATGGAGACAGCTAAAAAATAACTCAGTTGTAGACATGCTGTGTTTGAGATTCTTAAGACTACCTAAGTACAAATGGAGATACTTTTTGAGCCTTTTCTATATGACAAGGACAATTGCAAATACTTTACATGTACTAACAGACTTAATGCTTGTGACAGCCCTATGAGAAGGGTACCATCATTGCTGTCTTTTATAGATAAGAAACTGAGGCTCAGAGAGGTTCACTTACTTGCAGAGCTAATAGAGAAGAGAGGCAGAGTGTGAGCCTAGGTGATACAGCTCAGGAGCCCCACTCTGAAGCACCACAGCTAAATGATGACACAGTGGCTTCAAGTAAACTGCTGGATTCTGAATCTGAAATGCATATGTGATCACCATGCTTTATTACTCAAATCTTTGCAATCTTGTCATGGTTCCTAGGTTAAAAGCCAAAATTCTTTACCAGTTTTATAAAACCCTGCAAAATTTAGCTCCTGTTCATCTCCTCAGCCTCATTTTGAATTAGCTTCTCTCTTGGTCTATCTCATTTGTACTGTTCATCTCTAAGATTTTCAAATATAATATGGGTTCTCCTTCTCCCTAAGCTTGAAACCCTCTTCTTCTTTCTCTTTGCTTGGTCATCTTTTAAGTCTCAAATATTACCTCCTCCAGGAAGCCTTCTCTGATGCTCCCGCCTGGGTTAGGTGCCCCACCCCTACATGGTCATGACAATCTCTAACACTTATCACACTTGGGACTGCTGTTGTAGGTGTGTCTTCTCATCTAGCTCTAAACTTACTAAGGCCAGGGATGTTGACAGTCATTCACAGCTGTGTTCCCATTGCCTAACAAAGGGCTTGGCACATAACAGCCCTATGATAAATATATTTAAACTGTTTGTTGGCCAGGTGCCAAGGCTCATGTCTGTAATCCCAGCACTTTGGAAGGTCAAGGCGAGAGGACAGCTTGAGCGTGGGAGTTTGAGACCAGCCTGGGCAACAGGGAGAGACCCCATCTCTAAAAAACCCCCAAAACTTAGCTGGGTTTGGTGGTGTGTACCTGTAGTCCCAGCTACTTGGGAGGCTGAGGTGGGAGGGTTGCTTGAGCCTAAGAAGGCTGAGGCTGCAGTGAGCTATGATAGTGCTATTACACTCTAGCCTGGGCAACACAGCAAGGCCCTGTCTCTACAAAATAATAACAACAATAATAATAACAATAATTAGCCAGGCAGGGTGGCATACACCTGTGGTCCCAGCTACTCGGGAGGCTAAGATGGGAGGATCACTTGAACCTGGGAGGTTGAGGCTGCAGTAAGCTATGTTCATACCACTGCTTTCCAGTCTGGGCATCAGAGTGAGACCCTGCCTCAAAAAAAAAAAAAAAAAAAAAAAAAAAAAATTAAACTGGTTGCTTAAGTCCCAGAAGTAAAATTGGTATCTTTGAGCTATATCCCTCTCTCTGGGCCCATGGCCTCTGAGAATTTGGGGTGTCTTAGAAACACTTCAGATACTTTATAGAACTCATATCCAGGACTTAATTCACTGTCTGAAAATTAGGTTAGCATTCTCCTGGGACCAACCGGCAGGAGATGAGATTTCCAGAACTTTTTGCTTTATAAAAGCTAGAGAGGCATTTCTTCTGGTATTTTGACCTTGTAGATTCCAGTCCCATCTGGAAACTAAAAATGCAAAGTCATGTATATTTATGAGGAAAAAAAAGTAGCCAAAGCTGTTAAATTATCCTTTTTTCAGATGCTAAATAAATTTGCTCTAACCAATGGGAAGAGGACACATGGACTATTATTTAAACAAAGATTGATTTAAAGTATGAAGTAGATGCCAGCAAATTCCCTACGCCCCAAAGTACTTCCTTGGTGCTGCCTAAAATTCCACCTATAACATTTATTTTGGATAAAAACAGTTGCGTCTTTCAAAATGCAAATCTCACCAGAATTGAAGGGGACAGTGCTAAAAGAGATAACATGATGAGCTGCTTTCAGTGGTCATTTGTGTGTGTGTGTGCATGGTTTAAAATTTTCTGTGAATTCATAAATCATATCTCTCAAACTGACAGATCAGTTAAGAATGGGTTCCGTGAAGAAGAAAAGAGAGAAAAAGAGAAGAAGTCACTGCCAGGATGATTCATGTTGGGAATAGGATGCCAAACCCCAGGTAAGCAGGAAACACCATGGAATGCCAGGGAGGGAGGAAGAGGGGTCTCCTGTAGGCAGGAAGGAAAGCTTAATAAAGAAATTGCATCCTGTTTACAATACTTCCAGGGACAGGTTTGTCTTTTCTTTCCATGTAGCTATGCTTGATGACCTGCACCTCTGTCCTACCTTAACCTATCCTATTAATTTGAAGTAAGGGATTTTTTTTTAAAAAAAGACAGCTTTATTGAAATAGAATGTGCATATAGCAAACAGTAGATATTTAAAGTATACAAGTAAATAAGTTAGATACCTGTGAGATGATCACCGCCATTAAGATAATGAACATATCTGTCACATGCAAAAGTTCCTTTGGCCTCTGTGTCAGTCCTTTCTTCTGCCCCTTCCCATCCTCTCCCCCTCGGCAACTACTAATTTGGTTTCTGTCACTATAGATTAATTTGCATTTTCTTAAATTTTATATGAACAAAATCACACTATATATATTTTTTCACTTGGCAATATTGTTTTGTATTATTATATTAACATGAATTTATAGTTCATTACTTTTTTATTGTTGAGTAGTATTCCATGGTATGAATATGGCATCATTTGTTTATTCATTCATCTGTTAACGGACATTTGGATTGTTTCCAGTTTTTGGCTACTACAAATAAAGCTGCTATGCACATTCATGTATAAATCTCTGTGTGGACATATGCTTTTAGTTCTCTTGGGTAAAAACCAACAACTAGAATGGTTGGGTCATATGGTAGGTGTATTTTAACTTTCTGAGAAATCATTTTTAGAAGTGATTGTACCATTTTACATTCCCAGGAGTGTATGAGAGTTCCAGTTTCTCTACATCTTTGCCAATGCTTGGTAAGGCCACACTTTTAAACTTTAGCCATTCTAATAAGTATATAGTGGTACCTCCTTGTTGTTTTAACTTGCATTTCCCTAATTACTGATGATGTTGAGCATCTTTTTCGTGTGCTTCTTTGCCTTTGTATACCTTCTTTGGTAAAATGCCTATTCAAATCCTTTGCCCATTTAAAAAAATTGGATAATTGGATTGTTTTCTTATTTTTGAGTTGTGAGAGTTCTTAATTTTTCTTGATATATCCTTTATCAAATATATGCTTTGCAAATATTTTTTCCTCAGTCTTTCAGTCATCTTTTTATTCTCTTAACAGTGTCTTTCAAAGAGCAGAAGTTTTAAACTTTGAAGTACAATTTATCGATGTTTTCTTTTTATTGACTATGATTTTAATATAATGGTTAAGAAATCTTTGTCTAACTCAAATTTTTGAAGATTTTCTGCTATGTTTACCTCTAAAAATTTTACAGTTTTAAGTTTTGTGTGCAGGTGTCTGGTCCATTTTGAGTTAATTTTTGCATATGGTGTGAGGATTGGATCTAAGTTTAATATTTTTTGCTTATGGAGATCCAATTGTTCCAGCACCATTTTTTGAAAAGACTATGTTTTTTCCACTGAATTGTCTTTGCAACTATCCGAACATAGTTGTCCACATATGTGTTGGCCTATATCTGGACCCTCTATTTTGTGCCATTAGTCTATTTGTTTATCTTTATGCCAATACCATATTGTCTTGATTACTGTAGCTTTATAATAAGTCTTGGAATTAGATAGTGTAAGCCTTCCAACTGTGTCTTTTTCAAGTTGTTTTGGCTATTCTAGGTCCTTTGCATTTCCATATGAAGTTTAAAATCAGCTTGTGAATTTCTACAAGAAAAAAAAAAAACCCTGCTGGAATTTGGATAGGAATTGCATTGAATCTATAGAACAATTTGGTGAGACCTGACATCTTAAAAATTTTTAGTCTTTCAACTCATAAACAAGTTTTTCAGATTTATTCCTAGATATTCCATATGTTTGGCACTACTATAAATGATCTTTTTTTAAAATGTAAAATTTTTGGTTTATTGTTAGTAAATAGAAATAATTTAATTTTTATTTTTCGAGACAGTCTTACTGGGTCACCCAGGCTGGAGTGCAAAGGTGCAATCGTGGCTGGAGTGTACAGGCACTTCAGGGATCCTCCCACCTCAATCTCCCGAGTATCTGGGACCACAGGCACCTGCCACCATGCCTGGCTAATTTTTATACTTTTGACAGAGACAAGGTTTCACCATGTTGCCCAGGCTGGTCTTGAACTCCTGAGCTCAAGCAATCTGCCCACCTCAGTCTCCCAAAGTGCTGGGATTACAGGCTTGAGCCACTGTGCCTGGCCTCATAGTAATGTTTAAATATCGATCTTATAGACTGAAATCTTGCTAAATGTATTTACTAATATTAGTAGATTTTTAATAGATTCCAGCAGATTGCCTACATTGAGAATCATACCAAGTGTTGTTTATAAATAAAGACAAGTTTATTTCTTTCCAATCTGGATGTCTTTTATTTCTTATTCTTCCCTTTTTGCACTGACTAGACCTTCAAATACAAGATTAATAGAAGTGATGAAAGCAGACATCCTTGTCTTATTCCAGATCTTAAGGAAAAACATGCAGTCTTTCACCACTAAGTATGATGTAAGCTGTAGGTTTTTCTAGGTGACCTTTTTATCTAGTTGAGAAAGTTCCCTTCCTTTCCCAGTTTTTTGAGGATTTTTATTAGAAATGGATCTTGGATTTTGTCAGTGCATTTTCTGCATCTATTATAATGATCACATGATTTTTACTTTTTAGCAGACTTTTAAAAATGTTTGTTAATAGGGTGAATTACATTAGTTGATTTTTCACTGTTTAATCAACCTTTCATTCCTAGGATAAATCCTATTTGGTCTTGATGTATCATACTTTTCATATATTGTTGGATTGTAGATTGGTCTGAATTTTTCTTTCTTTATAGTATGTCTGGTTTTAGTATCAGGGTAATGATGACCTCATATAATGAGTTGAAAGGTATTTCTTCTTCACTTTTCTGAAAGACTGTGTAGAATGGGTATTATTTTTTCCTGAAATATTTAGAACTCATCAGTGTATCTATTTGGAGCTGAAGTTTCTTTGTGGGAAGGTTTTTAGCTACAAAATCAAGGTCTCTGATCTATTCAGTTAATCTACTTCTTCCTAAGTGAGGTTTGGTATTGGTCCATTTAATCTAAATTGTCACTTTTTTTTATTATACTTTAAGTTTTAGGGTACATGTGCACAACGTGCAGCTTAGTTACATATGTATACATGTGCCGTGTTGGTGTGCTGCACCCATTAACTCGTTATTTAACATTAGGTGTATCTCCTAATGCTATCCCTCCCCTCTCCCCCACCCCACAACAGGCCCCGGTGTGTGATGTTCCCCTTCCTGTGTCCATGTGTTCTCATTGTTCAATTCCCACCTATGAGTGAGAACATGCGGTGTTTGGTTTTTTGTCCTTGTGATAGTTTGCTATCATAAAGTTGTTCATAATATTTCCTTATTATTTGTTTAACATCTGTAGATTGTATAAGGAACTAGCCACTTTCATTCTTATTGCTAATTAACATCCTTTTCTTTCAGACTGAAGAACTCCCTTTAGCATTTCTTATAAGACAGGTCTGGTGCTGATGAAATTGCTTAGTTTTTGTTTGTTTAGGAAAGTCTTTATTTCTCCTTCGTGTTTGAAGGGTGTTTTTACTGGATATACTATTCTAGAATAACATTTTTTTTCCTCTTCAGATTTTTTTCCTTCAGTTGTTTCAGTCAGAAATGACTTTCTTAAAGTCCTTTTATGACTTTCGATGCGTCAGGCCACTCTCTCCTGGCCTATAAGGTGTCCACTGAAAAGTCTGCTGCCGGATGTATTGCAGCTCCATTGTATGTTACTTGTTTATTTTCTCTTGCTGCTTTTAGGATCCTGTCTTTATCCTTAACCTTTGGGAGTTTGATTATTAAATGCCTTGAGGTAGTCTTCTTTGGGTTAAATCTACTTGGTGTTCTATAACCTTACCATACTTGGATATTGATATTTTTCTCTAGGTTTGGGAAGTTCTGTCATTATCCCTTTGGATAAACTTTCTACCCCTATCTCTTTCTCTACCTCTTCTTTAAGGCCAGTAACTCTTAGATTTGTCCTCCACCTTTTTAAAAATTTTGTTTATTTATTTATTTATATTTGTTTTTTGAGACGGAGTCTCGCTCTTGTCGCCTAGGCTGGAGTGCAGTGGCGCGATCTCGGCTCACTGCAACATCTGCCTCCCGGGTTCAAGTGATTCTCCTGCCTCAGCCTCCCAAGTAGATGGGATTACAGGCGTCTACCACCAAACCCGGCTAATTTTTGTATTTTTAGTAGAGACGGGGTTTCACCATGTTGGCCAGGTTGGTCTCGAACTCCTGACCTCAACTGATCCACCCACCTCAGACTCCCAAAGTGTTGGGATTATGGGCGTGAGCCACTGTGCCCAGCCAGATTTGCCCTTTTGAGGCTATTTTCTAGATCCCGCTTTTTATTATTTTTTCTTTTGTCTCCTCTGACTAGTCTTTTCAAGTAGCCTGTCTTTAAGCTCACTAGTTCTTTCTTCTGCTTGATCAATTCTGCTATTAAAGGACTGTGATGCATTCTTCAGTATGTTGTTTGCATATTTTTTAGCTCCAGAATTTCTGCTTACTTCTTTTGAATTATTTCAATATCTTTGTTAAATTTGTCCATTAGGATTTTGAATTCCTTCTCTGTATTACCTTGAATTTCATTGAGCTTCCTCAAAACAGCTATTTTAAATTCTCTGTGAGAGGTCACATACTTCTGTCTCTCCAGGATTGGTCACTGGTACCTTGTTTAGCTCATTCGGTGAAGTCATGTTTTACTGCATGGTCTTGATGCTTGTGAATGTTTTTCAGTATCTGGGCACTGAAGAGTTAGATATTTATTGTAGTATTCCCAGTATGAGTTTATTTGTTCTTGTCCTTCTTGGGAAGGCTTTCCAGTATTCAAAGGGACTTGGGTATTGTGATTTAAGACTGTGGTCACTGCAGCCATATCTGCCTTAGGGGCCACTCCAAGCCCAGTAATGCTGTGGCTCTTGCAGACTTGTGGAAGTACTACCTTGATGGTCTTGGGTAAGACCTGGGAGAATTACCTGGATTACCAGGCAGAAACTCTTGTTCTCTTCCCTTACTTTCCCTCAAACAAAAAGAGCCTCTCTCTCTTTGTTCTGAGCTGCCTGGAGCTGGGGGACAAGGGACACAAGCACCCCTGTGGTCACCACTACTAGGACTGTGCTGGGTCAGACACAAGGCCAGCATAGCCCTGGGTTTCTCCCAAGGCCCGCAGTAACTACTGCCTGGCTGCCTCAAGGCCCAAGGGTTCTTTAGTCAGTTTGTGGTGAATGCTGCCAGTCTTGAGTCTCTCCTTTCAGGGCAGTGGGCTCCCCTGTGGCCCAGGGTGGGTCTAGAAATACTATCCAGGAACCAAGGCCTGGAACAGGGGACTCTAGAAGCCTACCTGGTATTCTACCCCACTGTGGCCGAGCTGGTACCCAAGCTGTAGAACAAAGTACCCTTTACTCTTCCCTCTCTTTTCCTCGAGCAGGAGGATGCAGCTAGGAGTGTGCTGCATCACACCTGAAGTCAGCATGGCTCTGAGTGTCACCCGTGACCTGTGGTGAGTACTGCCTGGCTACCACTGCTGGTTATTCAGGGCCCAAGAGCTCTTTAGTCAGCAGGTAATGAATCCTGCTAGGACTGGGCCCTTTCCTTCAAGGCAGTGTGTTCTCTTCTGGCCCAGGGTATGTCTAAAAATGTTGTCTGGGAGATATGGTCTGAAACTCAGGCCCTACGACTCTACTTGGTGCCCTATTCTACTGTGGCTGAGCTGTTACCCAAGTTGCGAGACAAAGTCCTTTTTATGTCCCCCTTCTCCTCAAGCATGAGGAAGGAGTTTCTCCCAGTGCTGCGAGCTGAGTTGCCTGGGTTTGGGGGAAGGAGTGGCACAAGCATGCCCTTGACTTCCCCAGCTGTTGTCTCACCAGCTGGAGTTGGGGGTGAGGTGAATCAAGACTGTCTTTCCTGCCTACTTCAGTGCCTCTTTCTTTGATATACTAAAGCCAGGTACTGTGACTACTGACCTAATTTTATGAAGGTGTTTTTTGTGTGGATAGTGGTTCAATTTGGTGTTCCTATTTTGGGGATGATTGCTGGAGGCTTCTGTTCGGCCATCTTGCTCCACCTCCTCTTCTCATTCCTGATATTGTCAATTTTTACTTTTTTTTTTTTCCTGATCAATCTGGCTAGATGTCTATAAATTTTATTGATCTTTGCATAAAACTAGCTTTTAGTTTTCCTGATTTTCTCTATTGTTTTTCTATCTTTTCACTGATTTTTACTTTGTTATTATTTCATTTCTTCTGTTTATTTTGGGTTAATTTCCTCCTCTTTTTCTAGCTTCTTAAGGCAAAAATTGAGGTAATTGGTATAATACTTTTTTCATTTTCAAATTTAAGCATTTAAAGCTGTAAATCTCCCCCTATGTAATGCTTTTGTAGCATCCTCCAAATTTTGATATGTTGTCTTTTAATTTTTGTTCGGTTTAAAATACTTTCTAATTTTCCATCTGATTTCTTCTCTGACTCATGGATTATTTAGAAGTGTGTTACTTAATTTTCAGATAATGAGAAATTTTCCATAGATCTTGCTAATTGAATTCTACTGTGGTCAGAGATCATATATTTTACATGATTTGAATCCTTTTATTTTATGGCCTAGAATATGGTCTATCATGGTAACTTTTTCTGTGCACTTGAAAAAAAGGTAAATTCTGCTGTTGTTGGGTGGAGTGTCAATTAGGTCAAGGTGGTTACTTGTGGTGTTCAAGTATTTTCTAATTTTACTGATTTTATCTCCATTTGTTCTATTAGTTACTGAGAGAGGCTATTAAAATCTCTGATTATAGTTATGGATTTGCCTATCCTTGCAGTTCTATCAGTTTTCTTTTGTTTTTTTCTTTTCTTTTTCTTTTTCTTTTTTTTTTTTTAGACAATGTCTCACTCTTTTGCTTAGGCTGGAGTGCAGTGACATGATCATGGCTCACTGCTGCCTCGATCTGGGTTCAAGTTATCCTCTCACCTCAGACTCTCAAGTAGCTGGTACTACAGGCATGTGCCAACATACCAATAGTATTTAAAAATAATTTTTTAAGATTTATATTTTGTACAGACAGGGTCTTACTATGTTGCCCACGCTGGCCTCAAACTCCTGGGCTCAAGCGATCCTCCTGCCTCAGCCTTTCAAAGTGTTGGGATTACAGATGTGAACCATTTGCCCAGCCTATCAGCTTTTATTACGTGTATTTTAAAGCTCTGTTATTAAATGCATAAACCTTTATTATTGTTATGTCCTCTTGATGAATTGATCCCTTCATCATTATGAAATGACCTCTTTTACCACGGGTTATATACTTTGCTGTGAATATTATTGATACTAATCTAGTCACTCCAGTTTCTTTCTCTTTTTTTTTGAAGATGGAGTTTCGCTCTTGTCGCCCAGTCTGGAGGGCAATGGCGTAATCTCAGCTCACTGCAACCTCCACCTCCCAGGCTCAAGTGATTCTCCTGCCTTAGCCTCTCTAGTAGATGGGATTAGGGGCATGCGCCACCACACCCAGCTAATTTTTGTATTATTAGTAAAGACAGGGTTTCACCGTGTTGGCCAGGCTGGTCTCAAACTCCTGACCTCAGGTGATCCACCTGCCTTGGCCTCCCAAAGTGCTGGGATTACAGGCGTGAGCCACTGAACCCGGCCTCCAGCTTTTTTTGATGAGTATAGCGTGATATATCTTTTCCCATTCTTTTAACCTGTTTGTGTCTTTGAAATGAATATGTGTTTCTTACAGGTAGCAAATAGCCATATCTCACTTTTTTCATTAATCTGACAATCTCTGCCTTTGACTTCAAATTACATGTTTATTAGGATGCTTCAAGTTGTTTTACAGCTTATTTTTAAAATGTATTATTTTTTTCTGTTTCATTTGGTAGTTTCTATTATTATATCTTTTTATTTATTTATTTATTTATTTTATTATACTTTAAGTTTTAGGGTACATGTGCACATTGTGCAGGTTAGTTACATATGTATACATGTGCCATGCTGGTGCGCTGCACCCACTAACTCGTCATCTAGCATTAGGTATATCTCCCAATGCTATCCCTCCCCCTGCCCCCCACCCCACAACAGTCCCCAGAGTGTGATATTCCCCTTCCTGTGTCCATGTGATCTCATTGTTCAATTCCCACCTATGAGTGAGAATATGCGGTGTTTGGTTTTTTGTTCTTGCGATAGTTTACTGAGAATGATGATTTCCAATTTCATCCGTGTCCCTACAAAGGACTTGAACTCATCATTTTTTATGGCTGCATAGTATTCCATGGTGTATATGTGCCACATTTTCTTAATCCAGTCTATCATTGTTGGACATTTGGGTTGGTTCCAAGTCTTTGCTATTGTGAATAATGCCGCAATAAACATACGTGTGCGTGTGTCTTTATAGCAGCATGATTTATAGTCCTTTGGGTATATACCCAGTAATGGGATGGCTGGGTCAAATGGTATTTCTAGTTCTAGATCCCTGAGGAGTCGCCACACTGACTTCCACAACGGTTGAACTAGTTTACAGTCCCACCAACAGTGTAAAAGTGTTCCTATTTCTCCACATCCTCTCCAGCACCTGTTGTTTCCTGACTTTTTAATGATTGCCATTCTAACTGGTGTGAGATGGTATCTCATTGTGGTTTTGATTTGCATTTCTCTGATGGCCAGTGATGATGAGCATTTTTTCATGTGTTTTTTGGCTGCATAAATGTCTTCTTTTGAGAAGTGTCTGTTCATGTCCTTCGCCCACTTGTTGATGGGGTTGTTTGTTTTTTTCTTGTAAATTTGTTTGAGTTCATTGTAGATTCTGGATATTAGCCCTTTGTCAGATGAGTAGGTTGCGAAAATTTTCTCCCATTTTGTAGGTTGCCTGTTCACTCTGATGGTAGTTTCTTTTGCTGTGCAGAAGCTCTTTAGTTTAATTAGATCCCATTTGTCAATTTTGGCTTTCGTTGCCATTGCTTTTGGTGTTTTGGACATGAAGTCCTTGCCCATGCCTATGTCCTGAATGGTAATGCCTAGGTTTTCTTCTAGGGTTTTTATGGTTTTAGGTCTAACGTTTAAGTCTTTAATCCATCTTGAATTGATTTTTGTATAAGTTGTAAGGAAGGGATCCAGTTTCAGCTTTCTACATATGGCTAGCCAGTTTTCCCAGCACCATTTATTAAATAGGGAATCCTTTCCCCATTGCTTGTTTTTGTCAGGTTTGTCAAAGATCAGATAGATGTAGATATGCGGCGTTATTTCTGAGGGCTCTGTTCTGTTCCATTGATCTATATCTCTGTTTTGGTACCAGTACCATGCTGTTTTGGTTACTGTAGCCTTGTAGTATAGTTTGAAGTCAGGTAGTGTGATGCCTCCAGCTTCGTTCTTTTGGCTTAGGATTGCCTTGGCGATGCGGGCTCTTTTTTGGTTCCATATGAACTTTAAAGTAGTTTTTTCCAATTCTGTGAAGAAAGTCGTTGGTAGCTTTATGGGGATGGCATTGAATCTGTAAATTACCTTGGGCAGTATGGCCATTTTCATGATATTGATTCTTCCTACCCATGAGCATGGAATGTTCTTCCATTTGTTTGTATCCTCTTTTATTTCCTTGAGCAGTGGTTTGTAGTTCTCCTTGAAGAGGTCCTTCACATCCCTTGTAAATTGGATTCCTAGGTATTTAATTCTCTTTGAAGCAATTGTGAATGGGAGTTCACTCATGATTTGGCTCTCTGTTTGTCTGTTGTTGGTGTATAAGAATGCTTGTGATTTTTGCACATTGATTTTGTATCCTGAGACTTTGCTGAAGTTGCTTATCAGCTTAAGGAGATTTTGGGCTGAGACAATGGGGTTTTCTAGATATACAATCATGCCGTCTGCAAACAGGGACAATTTGACTTCCTCTTTTCCTAAATGAATACCCTTTATTTCCTTCTCCTGCCTAATTGCCCTGGCCAGAACTTCCAACACTATGTTGAATAGGAGTGGTGAGAGAGGGCATCCCTGTCTTGTGCCAGTTTTCAAAGGTAATGCTTCCAGTTTTTGTCCATTCAGTATGATATTGGCTGTGGGTTTGTCATATATAGCTCTTATTAATTTGAAATACGTCCCATCAATACCTAATTTATTGAGAGTTTTTAGCAGGAAGGGTTGTTGAATTTTGTCAAAGGCCTTTTCTGCATCTGTTGAGATAATCATGTGGTTTTTGTCTTTGGCTCTGTTTATATGCTGGATTACATTTATTGATTTGCGTATATTGAACCAGCCTTGCATCCCAGGGATGAAGCCCACTTGATCATGGTGGATAAGCTTTTTGATGTGCTGCTGGATTCGTTTTGCCAGTATTTTATTGAGGATTTTTGCATCAATGTTCATCAAGGATATTGGTCTAAAATTCTCTTTTTTGGTTGTGTCTCTGCCCAGCTTTGGTATCAGAATGATGCTAGCCTCATAAAATGAGTTAGGGAGGATTCCCTCTTTTTCTATTGATTGGAATAGTTTCAGAAGGCATGGTACCAGTTCCTCCTTGTACCTCTGGTAGAATTCGGCTGTAAATCCATCTGGTCCTGGACTCTTTTTGGTTGGTAAACTACTGATTATTGCCACAATTTCAGCTCCTGTTATTGGTCTATTCAGAGATTCAACTTCTTCCTGATTTACTCTTGGGAGAGTGTATGTGTCGAGGAATTTATCCATTTCTTCTAGATTTTCTAGTTTATTTGCGTAGAGGTGTTTGTAGTATTCTCTGATGGTAGTTTGTATTTCTGTGGGATTGGTGGTGATATCCCCTTTATCATTTTTTATTGTGTCTATTTGATTCTTCTCTCTTTTTTTCTTTATTAGTCTTGCTAGCGGTCTATCTATTTTGTTGATCCTTTCAAAAAAACAGCTCCTGGATTCATTAATTTTTTGAAGGGTTTTTTATGTCTCTATTTCCTTCAGTTCTGCTCTGATTTTAGTTATTTCTTGCCTTCTGCTAGCTTTTGAATGTGTTTGCTCTTGCTTTTCTAGTTCTTTTAATTGTGATGTTAGGGTGCCAATTTTGGATCTTTCCTGCTTTCTCTTGTGGGCATTTAGTCCTATAAATTTCCCTCTACACACTGCTTTGAATGCATCCCAGAGATTCTGGTATGTTGTGTCTTTGTTCTCGTTGGTTTCAAAGAACATCTTTATTTCTGCCTTCATTTCATTATGTATCCAGTAGTCATTCAGGAGCAGGTTGTTCAGTTTCCATGTAGTTGAGTGGTTTTGAGTGAGATTCTTAATCCTGAGTTCTAGTTTGATTGCACTGTGGTCTGAGAGATAGTTTGTTATAATCTCTGTTCTTTTACATTTGCTGAGGAGAGCTTTACTTCCAAGTATGTGGTCAATTTTGGAATAGGTGTGGTGTGGTGCTGAAAAAAATGTATATTCTGTTGATTTGGGGTGGAGAGTTCTGTAGATGTCTATTAGGTCTGCTTGGTGCAGAGCTGAGTTCAATTCCTGGGCATCCTTGTTGACTTTCTGTCTTGTTGATCTGTCTAATGTTGACAGTGGGGTGTTAAAGTCTCCCATTATTAATGTGTGGGAGTCTAAGTCTCTTTGTAGGTCACTCAGGACTTGCTTTATGAATCTGGGTGCTCCTGTATTGGGTGCATATATATTTAGGATAGTTAGCTCTTCTTGTTGAATTGATCCCTTTACCATTATGTAATGTCCTTCTTTGTCTCTTTTGATCTTTGTTGGTTTAAAGTCTGTTTTATCAGAGACTAGGATTGCAACCCCTGCCTTTTTTTGTTTTCCATTGGCTTGGTAGATCTTCCTCCAGCCTTTTATTTTGAGCCTATGTGTGTCTCTGCACATGAGATGGGTTTCCTGAATACAGCACACTGATGGGTCTTGACTCTTTATCCAATTTGCCAGTCTGTGTCTTTTAATTGGAGCATTTAGTCCATTTACATTTAAAGTTAATATTGTTATGTGTGAATTTGATCCTGTCATTATGATGTTAGCTGGTGATTTTGCTCGTTAGTTGATGCAGTTTCTTCCTAGCCTCGATGGTCTTTACATTTTGGCATGATTTTGCAGCGGCTGGTACTGGTTGTTCCTCTCCATGTTTAGCGCTTCCTTCAGGAGCTCTTTTAGGGCAGGCCTGGTGGTGACAAAATCTCTCAGCATTTGCTTGTCTGTAAAGGATTTTATTTCTCCTTCACTTATGAAGCTTAGTTTGGCTGGACATGAAATTCTGGGTTGAAAATTCTTTTCTTTAAGAATGTTGAATATTGGCCCCCACTCTCTTCTGGCTTGTAGGGTTTCTGCTGAGAGATCCGCTGTTAGTCTGATGGGCTTCCCTTTGAGGGTAACCCGACCTTTCTCTCTGGCTGCCCTTAACATTTTTTCCTTCATTTCAACTTTGGTGAATCTGACAATTATGTGTCTTGGAGTTGCTCTTCTCGAGGAGTATCTTTGTGGTGTTCTCTGTATTTCCTGAATCTGAACGTTGGCCTGCCTTGCTAGATTGGGGAAGTTCTCCTGGATAATATCCTGCAGAGTGTTTTCCAACTTGGTTCTATTCTCCCCATCACTTTCAGGTACACCAATCAGACGTAGATTTGGTCTTTTCACATAGTCCCATATTTCTTGGAGGCTTTGCTCATTTCTTTTTATTCTTTTTTCTCTAAACTTCCCTTCTCACTTCATTTCATTCATTTCATCTTCCATTGCTGATACCCTTTCTTCCAGTTGATCGCATCGGCTCCTGAGGCTTCTGCATTCTTCACATAGTTCTCGAGCCTTGGTTTTCAGCTCCATCAGCTCCTTTGAGCACTTCTCTGTATTGGTTATTCTAGTTATACATTCTTATAAATTTTTTTTCAAAGTTTTCAACTTCTTTGCCTTTGGTTTGAATGTCCTCCCGTATCTCAGAGTAATTTGATCCTTTGAAGCCTTCTTCTCTCAGCTCGTCAAAGTCATTCTCCATCCAGCTTTGTTCCGTTGCTGGTGAGGAACTGCGTTCCTTTGGAGGAGGAGAGGCGCTCTGCGTTTTAGCGTTTCCCGTTTTTCTGTTCTGTTTTTTCCCCATCTTTGTGGTTTTATCTACTTTTGGTCTTTGATGATGGTGATGTACAGATGGGTTTTTGGTGTGGATGTCCTTTCTGTTTGTTAGTTTTCCTTCTAACAGACAGGACCCTCAGCTGCAGGTCTGTTGGAATACCCTGCCGTGTGAGATGTCAGTGTGCCCCTTCTGGGGGGTGCCTTCCAGTTAGGCTGCTCGGGGGTCAGGGGTCAGGGACCCACTTGAGGAGGCAGTCTGCCCATTCTCAGATCTCCAGCTGCATGCTGGGAGAACCACTGCTCTCCTCAAAGCTGTCAGACAGGGACATTTAAGTCTGCAGAGGTTACTGCTGTCTTTTTGTTTGTCTGTGCCCTGCCCCCAGAGGTGGAGCCTACAGAAGCAGGCAGGCCTCCTTGAGCTGTGGTGGGCTCCACCCAGTTCGAGCTTCCTGGCTGCTTTGTTTACCTAAGCAAGCCTGGGCAATGGCGGGCGCCCCTCCCCCAGCCTCGCTGCCGCCTTGCAGTTTGATCTCAGACTGCTGTGCTAGCAATCAGCAAGACTCTGTGGGCGTAGGACCCTCCGAGCCAGGTGCCGGATATAATCTCGTGGTGTGCCGTTTTTTAAGCCGGTCCGAAAAGCGCAATATTCGGGTGGGAGTGACCTGATTTTCCAGGTGAGTCCGTCACCCCTTTCTTTGACTCGGAAAGGGAACTCCCTGATCCCTTGCGCTTCCCAAGTGAGGCAATGCCTCGCCCTGCTTCGGCTCGCGCACGGTGCGTGCACCCACTGACCTGCGCCCACTGTCTGGCACTCCCTAGTGAGATGAACCTGGTACCTCAGATGGAAATGCAGAAATCACCCGTCTTCTGCGTCGCTCACACTGGGAGCTGTAGACCGGAGCTGTTCCTATTCGGCCATCTTGGCTCCTCCCCCGTGTCTCTCTTATTATATCTTTTAAGTTCCCTAATCTTTTCTTCTGAAATATCTAATCTGCCATTAATTCCATCCAATTTTTAGTCATCTCAGACACTGTAGTTTTTATGTATCCAAGTTTAACTAGGGTCATTCTTATTTCTTTCATCTGTCTACCTAAGCTTTTGAACATATATGAAATACAGTTATAATGACTATTTTTAATGGCCTTGTTGGCTAATTATAATATGAATCTTTTCTTGGTTGGTTTTGATTGATTGATTATTCTTCTCATTATGGGGGTCATATTTTCCTACTTCTTTGGATGCCTGGTAATTTTTGAATGAATGCCAGACATTGTGAATTTTACATTGTTTATTAGGTATAGTACATTTGTGTCTTCCTAACAATATTATTGAGCTTAGTTTTGGGATACAACTAGGTAATTTGAAGCAGTTTGATCCATTCAAACTCTTTTGAGATTCTTTAGGTAGGACCTGGTCCCAAGACCCTTCTGAGTCATCTATCCAGTGCCCTGTCAATTCTGAGGTTTCCACTTTTCCAAGAATTCTTTCATTTGGTTCTTTCCCTGGCCTTGGGTAGTTTCCTTACATAAATGTGACTGATGATCAGTACATTCCTGAATTCTCAAGGCAGATCCTCTGCTGACCTCCACATTCTCTCGTGCAGCTTTTAACTTTCTGGTCCTGTGTCCTAACAGTTCTAACTGCCTTGGTCTCCCTCAGACTCTCAGGTCAGTCTCTTTAAATCAGGAGTCCGCTGACCTCTGCTTAGGTCCCCGCTTCCTGCATCACGCCTTGGAAGCTCTTTCAGAACCATAAGCTGAGGGCAGCTGTGGGCTCACAGTCTCACTGGGATTGCTGTGCTTCATTTTCTGATGTACAGTGACTTGAATATGATTATTTCATATAATGTCTACTTTTTTGATTGATTTAGGCTGGAGAGTTAAGCCAGTCCCTGTTACTTTATCTTGTATGAAAGCAGAGTCTAAGGAATTCTTTTTTAAACTGTAAAGTTAGGTAATCATGCTTACATTCTCTCTGAATTCCTAGAGAACAGACTGGTTGCAGTCAAATTTGATCAAAAGGAGGCTCCTCAAGACTTCAACTCCTTCATTATCAAACCTTGAATTTCTGAATGAGAGGAACATTTAGAGCCACAAACAGAATTCTCCACAAGGGCAGGAAAATGGTCTGTTCAAAGGGCAGTTTTGAGACTAGATGTCAGTGTTATTCTCCAGATTAAGAAGAGGGGTGACTCTTTTTTCCCCATGGAATCCCTTCAATGATAATAATCATTATGAGAGTTTTTGAAATGTATATCCCAGTTTCTTTTTTCCATAAGATCCCAAAGCTCTTAACAAATATAGTAATCAATATGCAAACTAGGATCATAATCAAAGAGTCTTGTGTTCCAGACTAATTTCTCACCATGGCTTCTGGACTTGCTCAGTTGCTCTGGCAGGCTAGTATCTGCCTTGTATGTGTTTTTCTCTTTTTCACCATTCCCTGTGTTTCTCTTTCTCTTTCATTATTTCTAGCTGTATTTGAACTTCTCTTTCTCACTATATTGGAACATAAGACACGTGCATTTCACTCCTAGAATTATTACTATTCCACGAAACACTGGCTGAGTCACTTTAGCCTTTGGCTTTTAATAAAATAATAATAAGGCTGGGCACAGTGGCTCATACCTATAATCTCAGCACTTTGGGAGACTGAGGCAGGAGGATTGCTTAAGCCCAGGAACTCAAAACCAGCCCGGGTAACATGGCTAAACCCCATCTCTATAAAAAATAAAAAAAAAATTAGCTGGGTGTGGTGGTGCACACCTGTAGTCCCAGCTACTTGGGAGCCTGATGCTAGAGGATTGATTGAGCCCAGGAGGTTGAGGCTGCTGTGAGTTGAGATCACACCACTGCTCAACAGAATGAGATCTATCTCAAAATAATAATAATAATAATAATAAAGGGTTAAACAAGTTGCCACCCTTCTCCCTATCTTCTGGGAATTATGGTACTAGAAAATGAAGTAGCATGTACGAGAAGCTTTCTCAAGTTTAATAGATTTCACCTGCTTCATTCTTCCATGTAGGCTCTCTCTTATCAAGTGCCTACAGTGGCTCAAGACTGAGCAAGGTGCTGTACTGGAGACAGTTTTTGGGGTGTGCAGGGTGAAGAAAGAGCTTCCAAGGGAAAGAAGTCCCTAGGTAGTTTATAATCTTATAATTCTCTTAAGTACAGGTCACTCTTTGGACTCTTCGAAGAATGGCTGGGTCCACTGTAA
Source organism: Homo sapiens (assembly GCF_000001405.40). NCBI lineage: Eukaryota > Metazoa > Chordata > Mammalia > Primates > Hominidae > Homo > Homo sapiens. The sequence goes on from NC_000014.9 coordinate 71,851,282, forward strand.
TTGGATAGTATTTACTACAAAGAAGGTGTTTTATGTGTGTGTATGTTCAATTAACCTGGCGTCTTTTGATTTAAACTGTAAGAATGTTTTAATATTTTTTGCCCAGTCCCGTTGGTAGTCATTTTCACAGAGACAGTGACTCAGTCTGCCTCAAATGGGCCCAGGATAAACAGGTTTTGCTTAACCTTTCCATGAGCAACTTTTCAACTGTTAAAGTGTGCTAGAGTCAGATTACATGGGCTTGTGAGTCCTTTCAACATGGATAGGAAAGGAACCTCTAAGCCTCTGTTTCTTTACCTGAAACATGAGAATAGTCTTCCCCCTGCATAGAGTTAGCATGGAATTAAATGAGATGCTGCATATAAAACATTTAGTATAATTCCTGGCATGTAGTAAGCGCTCACTTATTGTCGGTTACTCTCATTATTCATCGTTCAGTAACTTACTTACTCAGTCCCTATTATGTGCAGGGTCTTTGACTTGGGTCTGAGATATTCTAATGAAAAAGCTCTCTCCTGGCCAGGCACGGTGGCTCATGCCTATAATCCCAGCACTTTGGCAGGCCGAGGTGGGCGGATTACCGGAGGTCAGGAGTTCGAGACCAGCCTGGCCAACATGGTGAAACCCCATCTCTACTAAAAACACAAAAGTTAGCTGGGTGGGATGGCGGGTGCCTATAATCCTAGCTATTCAGGAGACTGAGGCAGGAGAATCGCTTGAGCCCAGGAGGTGGAGGTAGCAGTGAGAGAGGATTGCGCCACTGAACTCCAGCCTGGGCGACAGAGCAAGACTCTGTCTCAAAAAAAAAAAAAAAAAAAAAAAAAAAGGAAAAGAAAAAGAAAAAACTATCTCCCTGCACTACAGTCTAAAGGAAGGGTTGGCAAACTTTTTCCATTAAGAGCCAGATGGTAAATATTTCAGACTTTGTGGGCCATATGGTCTCTCTTGCAACTGCTCAACTCTGATGTTATAGCTCAAAAGCAGTCACATACAAGACATTAACAAATGGGTATGGCTTTGTTCCAATAGTTTACAAACCCCTGTTCTAGAGGGAAGACAGATATTCAAAGAAACCATTGCAATACAGTGTGGTAAGTGTTACCACACTTAGATAGAGGAAGTGGGGAATGATCTAGCCTGTCACCACTCATTGTGCAGTCTTTAGACAAGCTGCATTGACATCACCAGGGAGCCTGTGAGGAATGCAGATCCTCACACCTCATCCCAGAACTGTGGAATCAGAGTCTGCATTTAACAGACTGAATTTTTTGCCCAGTCCCATTGGTAGCCATTTTCCATATGATGCAAAAACTCTTGATAAATATAGTAATCAATACGCACACTAGGATCACAATCAAAGGGCTTAACAAAAGAAGCTCTGACAGAGGGCTACGTTATACCAGCAAGAATATCTCATTTGAAAGCTGAAGGACAAGCAGAAGATTTTGGGGCAATGTATGGGCCAGGGGACATCTTTTAGGCAGAAAGTACAGCAAGTACCGAGATGTGGAGGTGAGGAAGAACACAGTTGAAGAACTCAAGAAATTAGAGAACCTTGCTGGCAGTAAGTTGGTAACACTACTCTAGGCTAGAAGAAATTTAAGCAACATAACAGTCAAATGCAGTGACCTGATTTTGTTTAGGTCCTGTTTTGAAGAAACCAATTATAAAAAGACATTTTTGAAACAATTGATTTTTTTTTTTTTTTTTTTTTTTTTGAGACAGAGTCTTGTTCTGTCACCCAGGCTGGAGTGCAATGGCATGATCTCGGCTCACTGCAACCTCTGGCTCCCAGGTTAAAGTGATTTTCCTGCCTCGGCCTCCCAAGTAGCTGGAACTACTAGCTTCCGCCACCATACCCGGCTAATTTTTGTATTTTTAGTAGAGACGGGGTTTCACCATGTTGGCCAGGCTGGTCTCGAACCCCTGACCTCAAATGATCCACCTGCCTCGGCCTCCCAAAGTGCTGGAATTACAGGCATGAGCCACCATGCTCAGCCGAAAATTTGAATATAAAGTGAGTATTAATACCACTGATTGTGATAAAGGTTTTGTGTTTATACATAAAAAGTCTATTAGAGAGATATATGGAAGGACTTTGGGGTGAAATGGCCTGATGACAGGGATTTTAAGAAATATTCACAAAAAAAGAAGGCTGACCAAAAGGAAGACATGAAGCAACTGGAGCAAAAAGTGAATAATTGTTGAATCCAAGGATGGGTGTATTGAGTTTTTTTATATTATTCTCTTTTCTTTTGTGTACTTTTGAAAACTTTCTTAATAAAAAAGTTAAGGAAGAATGTTGGACTGCATCAAGTCTCTTGTCTCTGCTTTTATGTGAAATTCAGCTCATGATTAATCCATCCCAAGAGCTGTGTACAAAGCAATATTTTCCATCTTTGAAGACAATTTAGAAGTCCTTGACAGGAGGTCACTCTGAGCCCAGTGGATCTACGTGCATTTCCTTTTATTGGAAAGAGCGGAAGAGCAGTGGCTTCAAGGAAGTTTTACTCCATTTCTTTTTTCTTTCTTTTTTTTTTTTTTTTTTTGAGACTGAGTCTTGCTCTGTCACCAGGCTGGAGTGCAGTGGTGCTATCTTGACTCACTGTAACCTCTGCCTCCCGGGTTCAACCAATTTTCCTGCCTCAGCCTCCCGAGTAGCTGGGACTACAAGCATGCGCCACCACGCCCAGCTAATTTTTTTTGTATTTTTAGTAGAGACGGGGTATCACCATGTAGACCAGGATGGTCTGAATCTCTTGACCTCATGATCCACCAGCCTCGGCTTCCCAAAGTGCTAGGATTACAGGCGTGAGCCATTTCTTAAAGCAGATGTGTCTGAGCTGGGGGATGAGGGTCTCTCATCCCAGCCCAGACCCTCATCCAGGACCCCCGCTTCCCCCGTACTAAAGGCGCAGCTAGGACTGCAGCTTGCTGAACAGTGTACTGCAATGGACCCGAGAAGAATGCGCACCTTTGTGCTCCTGGTTTGGAATCAAGTATATGCAGTAGTGGCCTTCGATGGTGAGGATTACAGATTTTTTTCATGAGGAACACATATTATATCTCTGAAAGAATCAGTAATAAGGAAATTAGGACAATAAGGAGCAGATCATTTTGGACCCACTATTTACCAGCTCTGTAGCCTTGAGAAAGTTACGAGGTCTCTTGAGGTCTCATTTCATCATCTGTAAAATTATTTAACCTACTCGATTGGGTTGCTGTGACAAATTTAATGAGATAACATGTATAGTCTTGATCTCATCGCAAGCTATAAGAAGTGATACACAAATGTCAGTTGCATTTTTCCTGAGCTGGACTTCCTAGTATTCTCTCCTATTTCATAGGTGGCTTTTTAAGCTTATCTTACCTCTGAGCTTCACATTTGTTTGGTGCTGAATTAGAATTTCCATGTGGTGGTCCCTGAATTTTACTGCTCCCCCAGCACCCTGTCTTTTTCTCTCATGCTGAAAGTAGCCTTTTAACATTTGCCTTTTAACCTGGGTCTTCCTTCTTTTTGCCTGGAATGGTTGTTTTTTTGTTTGTTTGTTTTTGAGATGGAGTCCCACTGCAAACTCTGCCTCCCGAGTTCAAGTGATTTTCCCTCCTCAGACTCCTGAGTAGTTGGGATTACAGACGCCCACCACCAGGCCCAGCTAATTTTTGAATTTTTAGTAGAGATAGGATTTCACCATGTTGACCAGGCTGATCTTGAACTCCTGATCTCAAGTGATCTGCCCGCCTTGGTCTCCCAAAGTGCTGAGACTACAGGCATGAGCCACTACACCCAGCCTTCTGCCTGGGATGTGGATGTGATTCCCAGAAGTGCAGCTGCCATCTTGCCACCATGAGGTAACCTAAGGGTGTCAGAGCAGAAGGATAAAAGGAGCTTACGTCCTTCATGGCAGTGTGGGACTATACTAGAGCTTGACTACTCACCAAATCTCACCTTGAAAGAACACACACTTTAAAATTTAAAACTCCAATTGTCTCTAAAATAAGAAAGAAAGAAAGAAAATAGGTTCAGGTGAGGAAGTATGGCAGAATGTTGATAATGATGAATCTGGGGAATGGACATATTGGTTCACTATACTTTTCTCTTTAATTCTGTGTGTGTGTGTTTGAAATTTTTCATGACAAAAATTTAAAAGAAAATTGAACTTCACCAAATTTCTTATCTTGATTATTATGTGAAGCTCCAGGTTCTAATCAAGCTCTTCCAAGGGCAGAGGACAATGATTTTCCTGTTGGCCAACTTTTCATTGGCTGCATCCCAATACCCCAGGCTTGCCTCAATATTCCTGCTGTGCTGCTGCCCCCTGCTGGCCTCTGCCATTTTGTGTGCCTGAAGATAAGCTTCCCCCCATGTCAGAGGGCTGTGAGCTCCCTCCACTGAAGAAGGTTTTTAAAGATTAGACTCTTGATTTTAGATGATGTTTAATAAATGAATGTCCCTTCTATTCCCAAATTCTTAATGCCTGATTTTTAAAAAGCATGATGGGCATGTGGGGAGATACAAGAGACACAGAAGCCTCTGCCTTTGCGGTTCATTTTGTAGGAATGAGGATTCATAAAATGTACCACCCCCCATTCTGTCTCAACTGATGCCCCATCCCTCCTTCCATTTTCATCCTTCCAATTTCTTCATTCTCTGTTTGATGGACATGTTATAGGAAATATGTTTCAGAAATACCATCTTTTTAGTTTTTATTTAATCTTAGATTTCCTGAGTGTGATGCTGGAGAAATATTTGTAAACAAAATACCTACTTCAGATGGACCAGAAGAGAGAAAGGACTGGTACAGGTTGCTGAAGACAACCTTGACTGTGTTTTTAAGGTGTGCCCACGTCTGCTAACCCCAGGGAACTATTGAACACAACATATTTGACTGGTTTGCTGATTTCCAGAACAGCCAATAGTAGTGTAACTGAGCAGAGAAACAATGCTGTTAGAAGGGGCACGGTGAGAGTGAGATCGGCCCTTCGGTTTGCGTGGGAGCTGGGTGAAGCTGGTGACTGCTGGCTTTCCCCCGCTTCCCTGACAACCTGCATGACTCAGCAGAGGCAGCCATAATCCTGCTAGGTACACTACTCTATTGACCTTGCAACATCACCCCCATACCCCACAGCAGCCACAGCAAGACCTGCCCAAGGAGAGTCTGATCTCAGACATGCTTAGCCCTGCCCCGACCTGATGGGCCTTTCCTATGCACCCTGGTAGCTGAAGACAAAGGGCATATACTCTTGGGAGTTTTAAGGCCCCGCCCACTGCCATTTTCTCTCAATACTACCACAGCTGATGCTTTCTGGAAAGCACCACCTCCTGGCAGTAGGCCAACCAGCACAAAAATAGAACATTAAACCACCAAAGCTGACAACCTCGTAGAGTCCATTTCACCCCCTGCCACCTCCATGGGAACAGGTACTGGTATCCACACTGAGAGACCCATAGATGATTCACATCACAGGACTATGTGCAGACAATCCCCAGTACCAGCCCAGAGCCGGGTAGACTTGCTAAGTGGCTAGACCCAGAAGAGAGATAACAATCACTGCAGCTTGGCTCACAGGAAGCCACATGCATAGGAAAAGAGGAAGAGTACTACATCAAGGCAACACCCCATGGGACAAAAGAATCTGAACAACAGCCCTCAGCCCTAAACCTTCTCTCTGACAGAGCCTACCCAAATAAGAAGGAACCAGAAAACCAACTCTGGTAATATGACAAAACAAGGCTCTTTAACACCCCCCAAAAATCACTCTTGCTCACCAGCAGTGGATCCAAACCAAGAAGAAGAAATCCCTGATTTACCTGAAAAACAATTCAGGAGGTTACTTATCAAGCAATCAGGGACGCACCAGAGAAAGGCAAAGCCCAATGCAAGGAAATACAAAAAACGATGCAAGAAGTGAAGGGAGAAATATTCAAGGAAATAGATAGCATAAAGAAAATCAACCAAAACTTCAGGAAATATTGGACACACCTATAGAAATCCAAAATGCTCTGGAAAGTCTCAGCAATGGAATTGAATAAGTAGAAAAAGAAATTCAGAGCTCGAAGACAAGGTCTTGGAATTAACCCAATCCAACAAAGACAAAGAAAAACAATAAGAAAATAAGAACAAAGCCTCCAAGAAGTCTGGGATTATGTTAAGGGAACAAACCTAAGAATAATCAGTGTTCCAGAGGAAGAAGAGAAATCTAAAAGTTTTGAAAACATATTTGGGGGAGTAATCGAGGAAAACTTCCCTGGCCTTGCTAGAGACCTAGACATGCAAATAAAAGAAGCACAAAGAACAGCTGGGAAATTCATCGCAAAACGATCATCATCTAGGCATATTGTCATCAGGTTATCTAAAGTTAAGACAAAGAAAATAATTTTAAGAGCTGTGAGACAAAAACACTCAGGTAACCTATAAAGGAAACCTATCAGATTAACAGCAGATTTCCCAGCAGAAACCCTGCAAAGCTAGAAGGGATTGGGGCCCTATCTTCAGCCTCCTCAAACAAAACAATTATCAGCCAAGAATTTTGTATCCAGCAAAACTAAGCAACATATATGAAGGAAAGATGCAGTCTTTTTCAGACAAACAAATGCTGAGAGAATTCGCCACTACCAAGCCACCACTATAAGAACTGCTAAAAGGAGCTCTAAATCTTCAAACAAATCCTGGAAACACATACAAACAGAAACTCTTTAAAGCGTAAATCACACAGAACCTATAAAACAAAAATGCAAGTTAAAAAGCAAAAACAAAAAAAAAACCGAGGTATGCAAGCAACAAATAGCACAATGAATGCAATGGTACCTCACATCTCAATACTAACATTGACTGTAAATGGCCTAAATGTTCCACTTGAAAGATACAGAACTGCAGAATGGATAAGAACTCACCAACTAACTCTCTGCTGCCTGCGGGAGACTCACCTAACACATACGGACTCACATAAACTTCAAGTAAAGGGGTGGAAAAAGGTATTTCACTCAAATGGACACCAAAAGCGAGCAGGGGTAGCCATTCTTGTATCAGACAAAACAAACTCTAAAGCAACAGCAGTTAAAAGAGACAAAGAGGGACATTATATAATGGTAAATGGCCTTGTCCAACAGGAAAATATCACAATCCTAAACATATGTACACCTAACACTGGAGCTCCCAAATTTATAAAACGATTACTAATAGACCTAAGAAATGAGATAGACAGCAACACAATAATAGTGGGGGACTTCAATACTCCACTGACAGCAGTAGACAGGTTATTGAAACAGAAAGTCAACAAAGAAACAATGGTTTTAAACTATACCTTGGAACAAATAGACTTAACAGATATAAACAGAACATTTCATCCAACAACCACAGAATACACATTCTATTCAACAGTGCATGGAACTTTTTCCAAGATAGACCATATGATAGGCCATAAAATGAGTCTCAATAGATTTAAGAAAATTGAAATTATATCAAGTACTCTCTCAGACCACAGTGGAATAAAACTGGAAACCAACTCCAAAAGGAGCCTTCAAAGTCATGCAAATACATGGAAGTTAAATAACCTGTTCCTGAATGAGCATTAGGTCAAAACCAAAATCCAGATGGAAATTAAAAAATTATTCAAACTGAATGACAATAACGATACAACCTATCAAAACCTCCAGGGTATAGCAAAGGTGGTGCTAAGAGGAAAAGTTCGTAGCCCTAAATGCCTACATCAAAAAGATTGAAAGAGCACAAACTCATATTCTAAGCTCACACCTCAAGGAACTAGAGAAACAAGAGCACACCAAACCCAAACCCAGCAGACGAAAGGAAATAACCAAGAGCAGAGCAGAACTAAATGAAATTGAAACAAAAAAAATACAAAACATAAAACAAACATGAGGTTCTTTGAAAAGTTTAATAAAATTGATAGACCGTTGCAAGATTAACCAAGAAAAGAAGAGAGAAAATCCAAATAACTTCATTAAGAAATGAAACAGGAGATATTACAACTGACACCACTGAAATACAAAAGATAATTCAAGGCTACTGTGAACACCTTTATGCAGATAAACTAGAAAACCTTGAAGAGATAGATAAATTCCTGGAAAAATACAACCCTCCTAGCTTAAATCAGGAAGAATTAGATACCCTGAGCAGACTGATAACAAGCAGCAAGATTGAAGTGGTAATTAAAAAATTACCAACAACAAAAGAAGTCCAGGACCAAATGGATTCAGAGCAGAGTTCTTCTACCAGACATTCAAAGAAGAATTGATACCAATTCTTTAGACACTATTCTACAAGATCAAGAAAGAGGGAACTCTTTCTAATTCATTCTATGAAACCAGCATCACCCTATACCAAAACCAGGAAAAGATATAATCAAAAAAGAAAACTATGGACCGATATCCTTGATGGACAGAGACGCTAAAATTCTTAACAAAATACTAGCTAACCAAATCCAACAGCATATCAAAAAGATAATCCACCATGATCAAGTGGTTTTAATACCAGGGATGCAGGGATGGTTTAACATACACAAGTCAATAAATGTGATAGACCACATAAACAGAATTAAAAACCAGAATCACATGATCATCTCAGTAGATGCAGAAAAAGCATTTGACAAAATCCAGCATCCCTTTATGATTAAAACTTTCAGCAAAATCAGCATACAAGGGACATACCTAAATGTAATAAAAGCCATCTATGACAAACCCACAGCCAACATCATATTGAATGGGAAAAAGTTGAAAGCATTCCCTCTGAGAACTGGAACAAGACAAGGATACCCACTCTCACTACTCCTTTTCAACATAGTACTGGAGGTCCTAGCCAGAGCAATCAGGCAAGAGAAAGAAATAAAGGGCATCAAAATCGACAAAGAGGAAGTCAAACTGTCACTGTTTGCTGACAATATGATCCTTTACCTTGAAAATCCTAAAGACTCCTCCAGAAAGCTCCTAGAACTGATAAAAGAATTCAGCAAAGTTTTGGGATATAAGATTAATGTACACAAATCAGTAGCTCTTCTATACACCTACAGCGACCAAGCAGTGAATCAAATCAAGAACCCAACCCCTTTTACAATAGCTGCAAAAAAAAAAAAAGAATAAATAAATAAAATACTTAAGAATATACCCAACAAAGGAAGCGAAAGACCTCTACAAGGAAAACTACAAAACACTGCTGAATGAAATCATAGATGACCCATTCCATGCTCATGGATGAGTAGAATCAATATTGTGAAAATGACTATACTGACAAAAGCAATCTACATGTTCAATGAAATCCCCATCAAAATACCACCATCATTCATCACAGAAGTAGAAAAAACAATCCTAAATTTCATATGGAACTAAAAAAGAGCCCGCATAGGCAAAGCAAGACTAAGCAAAAGGAACAGATCTGGAGGCATCACACTAACTGATTTCAAACTATACTATAAGGTCATAGTCACCAAAACAGCATGGTACTGGTATAAAAATAGGCACATAGACCAATGGAACAGAATAGGGAACCTAGAAATAAACCCAAATACTTACAGCCAACTGACCTTCAACAAAGCAAACAAAAACATAAAAGTGGGGAAAGGACACCCTTTGCAGCAAATAGTGCTGGGATAATTGGCTAGCCACATGTAGGAGAATGAAACTGGATCCTCATCTCTCACCTTATACAAAAATCAACTCAAGATGGACTAAGCACTTAAATATAAGACCTGAAGCTATAAAAATGCTAGAAGATAACGTTGGAAAAACCCTTCTAGACATTGGCTTAGGCAGGGATTTTACGGTCAAGAACCCAAAAGCAAATGCAATAAAAACAAAGATAAATAGTTGGGACTTAATTAAACTAAAGAGCTTTTGCACAGCAAAAGGAACAGTTGTCAAACAGACAACAAGCATAGTAGGAGAAAATCTTCACAATCTATACATCTGACAAATGACTCATATCCAGAATCTACAACAAATTCAAACAAATCAGTAAGAAAAAACAATCCCATCAAAAAGTGGGCTAAGGACATGAATAGACAATTCTCAAAAGAAGATATACAAATGACCAACAAACATGAAAAAATGCTCAACATCACTAATGATCAGGGAAATGCAAATCAAAACCACAATGTGTTACCACCTTACTTCTGCAAAATTGGCCATAATCAAAAAATAAAAAATAGTAGATGATGGCATGGATGTGGTGATCAGGGAACACTTTTACACTGGTGGTGGGAATGTAAACTAGTACAGCCTATAGAAAACAGTGTGGAGATTCCTTAAATAACTAAAAGTAGAACTGCCATTTGATCCAGCAATCCCACTACTGGGTATCTACACAGAGGAAAAGAAGTTATTATATGAAAAAGATACTTGCACACACATGTTTATAGCAACACAATTCACAATTGCAAAATCGTGGGACCAACTGAAATGCCCATTACTCAATGAGTGGATAAAGAAACTGTGGTATATATATATATATATATATATATATATATATATATATATATATATATATATACACGATGGAATACTACTCAGCCATAAAAAGGAATGAATTAATGGCATTTGCAGCGACCTGGATGAGATTGGAGACTATTTTTCTAAGTGAAGTAACTCAGGAATGGAAAACCAAACACCTTATGTTCTCACTGATATGTGGGAGCTAAGCTATGAGGACGCAAAGGCATAAGAATGATACGATGGACTTTGGGGACTTGGGGGGAAGAGTGGAAGCGGGGGAAGGGATAAAAGACTACAAATCGGATATACTGCTTGGGTGATGGGTGCACCAAAATATCACAAATCACCACTAAAGAACTTACTCGTGTAACCAAATGCCATCTGTACCCCAATAACCTATGGAAAAATAAAAAACTTAAAAAAATTCCTTATCAGGAAGATTGGCAGTCTGACCAGAAGACCCTCTCCAACATGCCAAGATTCCAGAAAAAAAAGTGTCTTCCGTGCTCAGAGAGATTTTTAGGGCAGTGGAAATACTCTGTATGACTGTAGTGGTAGATACATCTCATACATTTGTCCAAACCCATAGAATGTATGACACCAAGAGTGAACCCTCATGTAAACACTACGGACTCTGGGTGATAATGATATACCAGTGTAGGTTCATCAGTTGTAACAAATGTACCACTCTAGTGAAAAGCGTTGATAATGGGAGAGCCTATGCATGTGTAGGGGCAGGGGATATATGAAAAATCTCTGTATGTTCCTCTCAATCTTCCCATGAAACTAACTACTCTAAAAAAAAAAAAAAGCTGTATTTTGTTTTCAAGTGTCTTCTCTTCCTGGAAGCTTTCAGGAAGAATTACAGGTCATAGCTCTGTGTTGACTAGGTCTTACCTGAGTTGAGGACAAATGTGGGAGCCTTCAGCCTAGCAGATGAGATAGGACTGTCCAATGGTTGGGGCTAAAGGCTGGGTTACTATGGGTTTGCAGACACCTGGAGTTAGTATAGGATTCCAACAGTCTTTTCCCTGACCCACTTCTGTGAGCCTGGAGCACCTCTCACATTTCCTGTCCACTGCAGCGATGGGGCTGGCCTTGGTCAGGTTGAGATCAAACTTCCCAGGCTCAAGCCGTCCTCCCACCTCAGCCTCCCAAAGTGCTGGAATTAAAGGCACAAGCCACTGCGCCTGGCCAGGAATACTATCTTAAAGCTCTTATTCAGCTGGGGTATCAGGGGACTACTAATATGCACTGTAGGGGTATTAGCTGTTATACTATTTTAAGTTGTTTTTATTTTTGGTCATATATCTTAGAATTTATACCCGGACTGGATTCATGGCAAAAGATGGGACACGTGAAGATTCCCACGTTGAAATACAACAAACTATGAAAAACATCAGAAAGAACATTCTCTAAATTCTCTTCAAGATGAGTTCATGAGATCTAAAAGTTGCAGTTACATAATAAAACTTCTTATATAGCACTTCAAAATATCTCTATGTCAACAACAACAAAAATATCTCTGATACTTCAAGAAGCTAGTGGCTGTTATGTGCAATTGCATCTCTAGTTTATTGGGTATAAAGACCATTAATACCTGTAATGTGTTCTTTGCTGGGAAGAACTGGGAGAGAGCAGCCTGAAACCCTTTTCTAATTTCATCATTTAGAAACAAACATGAACATTTCAAAAATAAACCACTCAGTTTTTTTTTTTAATGGCAAAGGCAAGCATTCCAACATTAGGTCATGGAAGCAATTTTAGTCTATTTTTGCTACTGTAAAATGCAGGCAAAATTATTCTATATTAAGTGTGTCCAATCTCAAAACACACCCACAAAACAAGATGTTAATGTTAAATGGATTGGTCAGAAATCATGCCTTTCCTTACATAATTAAGTTAAATTAAGGAGCATGTGTTGCTTATTAAGTGGAACAAAATATTTATATTTTAAAATAATTACTAAAGATGGCATTAAAAAGTGAAATGTATTATAATCTGAAATAATACTAACCTAAAAATATTTTTAATGCAAAACTCTTTCTTTATCATGTACCACATATAAATGACATTTGATTTTTTTACATCCCCAAAGAGTGTCACGAGCTTATGTATTCCCTCCCTGTAAAAGAAGTTCAAGAGTCGTATTTAGACCTTTCAGTATGACATACCAGCCTCTCTGAGACTTAGTCCAAATTCTTTCCATTCACCAATGCACACTACCATCTGGCTAGCCCAAACTGTTGGAAGTTCCTCTAAGCATGTCCTTTACAAGTCTGGGTTTTTGCATATGCTTCTTTATGCCTGGAATGTTCTTCCATCATCTTCACTATTTTTGAACTGGAGCATTTCTTTAACGCTTGACATCAACTTCTCTCTAAGGATCTCCCTTTCTGAAAGTCAGGGAGAGTTAGATGTTACTTTCTGTGTTCCCAAACCATTCTTTTCACAATTCATTTAATTACCAGAAAGTTTTGTAACTAGTTGATTAGTTCTCTATCTCTCCTGCTAGACTACAAATTCTCTACAAATTCTCTATCTCTCCTGCTAGATTACAAATTCTCTACAAAAGATTGCCATCTTAAATGACTAAAATAAAATAAAAATGTTGATGCTTAAAAGGTGCCTTCTCAGATCTCCACAGCTTTCCTGCAGAACCTAGTCCCTAAGGGAATCTGGATAGATAGGCTGGCTTGGCTTAGAACTACCCACATGTTTCCCCTGAGCTCAGCTGCACCTACCTGATGGATAACACTCAAGTTGGTCCTCTTATCCCCACAAAAAGTAGGATTCCCTCATTACCTTTGCCGAGGGCCCGGTTGCTGGAGTTAATGAGATAAAGGCAGAAAAAAACAAAAGGGCCAGGAAATTGCCATAAGACATTATTTCAGTGCCTCTCAAGGAAAGGGACTCTTGGAGAAATGAATCCGCAGTCATGAGTACAAAAGGTGGCAATTAATTTAGCTTCAGAGAAATCCTGAGAAAAGCCGAGGGAAAAGAGCAGTTCATTCTCTGTTTCTGGGATGGGTATCAAAAGGAGTGAAAGCCTCCTTGTTTCTAAGAACTCAAGGCTGGGTGGGTCTTCTGGGCATCCTCTGTCTATATCTGAGGTGTGTCAGAAAATCTCTGATTGTGTATTCTGAAGAGGTGCTCCAAACTTTTTGGAATCCTATTTGAGCAAAACTTGAGGTCTGAGAAAGTAAAAAGATGGGTCTTCAGTGTGTAACTTCTCCTTTCTGATTGAAAGGGCAATAGCACATCCTACCAACTTTACCCTAACACTTCTCTAAAGAAAAAGATGCAGGTTCAAATTGGGTGCCCTAAATGCCTTCCAAGAGAGTTTGCTCATTTAATTCAGCTCCAGATGATTGGACTGAAAGCAATTTGAGCAAAAGCAATTTGGTCAAACATAAGTTGGCCAGTGAGATAATTTTGGTCAAAAATGGATTTCAGTCATGGATTTTTCATTTGTTAAATCATTTTGGCTGATCACAAGGGAGGTTTTGCAATCATTAATGCATGTGTTTGGCACTTTTTGTCTCCCCTCTTTACTTTTTTCAGTGCAGTAAGTATTTTCTCTTATTCTTTTGATGTTTTAAATTTGGAATTAAATTTCAAACAATTCCAGCTCTACACTGTGTATGGTAATGAAAAATTGGAAACACCCAAAATGTTTGGCAAAAGAGAAATAGCTGAAATAACCCCATGTCCAACACTTGGTGGATTGCTGAAATAAATTACAGTATATTTCAAAGAAAATCCTCAGATATCCCCTCAAATTACCTATTTATCAAGACCTAGACCTAAGGGTTACAGATGTGTAATCTTTTCTTTTTTTTTTTTTTTGAAATGGAGTCTTGCTTTGTCACCCAGGCTGGAGTGAGAGGCGTGATCTCGCCTCACTGCAACCTCTGCCTCCCGGGTTCAAGTGATCCTCCTGTCTCAGCCTCCCAAGTAGCTGGAACTACAGGTCCCCACCACCATGCCCAGCTAATTTTTGTACTTTTAGTGGAGATGGGGTTTCACTATGTTGGCCAGGCTGTTCTCGAACTCCTGATCTCAAGTGATCCACCCACATTAGCCTCCCAAAGTGCTGGGATTATAGGCATGAGCCACCCACGCCCAGCCATTCTTATAGAAAAGACATATATGCACAGATAGAAAAATCTAGAAGATAAATATCTTAATGATTGTTTCTGATGGGTAGGCCTATGGGGGTACTTTATATTAGGCTGTGCAAAAGTAATTGTGATTTTGCCTTTAAAGTAATGGCAAAAACAGACCAAGCATGGTGGCTCACGCCTGTAATCCCAGCACTTTGGGAGGCCAAGGCAGCTGGATCACCTGAGGTCAGGAATTCGAGATCAGCCTGGCCAACATGGTGAAACCTCCTCTCTACTAAAAATACAAAAATTAGCCAGGCATGGTGGCATGTGCCTGTAGTCCCAGCTATTCGGGAGGCTGAGTCAGGAGAATCACTTGAACCTGAGAGGCAGAGGATGCAGTGAGCCAAGATGGTGCCACTGCACTCCAGCCTGGGCAACAGAGTGAGACTCCGTCTCAAAATAAAATAAAATAAAGTAATGGCAAAAACCACAATTACTTTTGCATGAACCTATAGTTACATTTGTTTATTTTTTTTCCTTTTAACAAATACTGATTGCTTTTTTAATAGGAAAAATAATTTAGGAAACTTCTTTAATTAAACCATAAAAGAGAATGATCTGGGATTTTCGTGCTCTGTGGATGCGGTAGAGACTCCCAGTTGCCTACGTTACTATCATGTTATTTGAGGCAGCAATGCGCTCAGCCAGAGGACTGCCTTTCCCAGCCTCCCCGGTAGCTGGATGGGCTTTGGGACTGGGTTCTGACCTTAGCAGAGGGGTTATGTGGTCCTTCCAGAACATCTCCTTAAAAGGGGTGGAGTGGGCTTTTCCCAGCTTCAAGTCCTGGTGCCTGGAACTTAGATGTGATGGCTAGCAATTCCACAGAGTAGGTCAGGGATCATTGGCTAGAAATGAACTAAACAGTAAAGGAACAACCAGCAAACCTTCCTCAGGCAGACATGAAAACATTAGGAAAAACAGACAAAAGTTCATAGAGGCTGCAAAATCACCCCAAAAGGCACCAGACTTAATAATACCTTTAAAAAGTTAGTGGCCAGCTACAGTGGCTCACACCTGTAATCCTAGCACTTTAGGGGTCGGAGGTGGGAGGATCACTTGAGGCCAGAAGTTTGAGGTCAGCCTCGGCAACATAGCAAGACCATGTCTTATAACAACATTTTAAAAGTTAGCTGGGTGTGGTGGTGTTCACATATAGTCCTTGCTACTGGGGAGGCTGAGGTGAGAGGATTGTTTGAGACCAGGACTTCGAGGCTGCGGTGAACTGTGATCATGCCACTGCACTCCAGCCTGGGTGACAGAGCGAGACTCTGTCTCTTAAAAAAAATGTGGAGATATTTATGCAACAAGATGAAGATAGGTGCCAAGTAGGAGTTGTTTTCCACATTGTTTGGAACTGATAATTCACTTTACTGCTGAAAACAAAACCACTAGTTTCCCCACATCATAAATAAAGAGGATGGCCAGCTGTTGGCATAGAAACATTCCAGAATCACTTGCTGAGAGGCAACACTTTCAGCAGGTCCCACACTAGCACCAACACCAAATCCCAGTACTCCTTGCAGCCCCTCCTAGTCTCCCATCCCATCATCTCACATCCAATAGAGGACTGTGAGGGGGCGAAATGGTTTTTTAAGTAGGAGAACAGTATGAAAAGCAGCTGTGTCTCACCTTGCTCTCCTTATGGGGATGGAGAGTAACTCCAAGACAAGTGGAAGGAGCTGGGCCTGGAGAGAATCATCTGTACAACATGGGAATGTCTTCGAGAGGGGTAGGCTGGCATTTCAACTGCTGGTTGGGGCTAGAGAAAGAACCCTTGGAGAGATGATTAAGAGAGATGACCAGATAAGGAGGAGGCAAAAACCATCCCTTCACACATCTTATTCCTAGAGGTACAGAAAATAGATAGATTTTACGTATGCTGGCCAATTCCAGGATTATGGGCCTTTTTGGGTTGATGAGGTAGGGGATGTGGGCTCACTGGGGGCCATCACCAAGGAGCAAGGAGCCAAGGCCTCCCAGGGAGGGCAGCTTAGACTACCCATAGTGGGGCCATCCTGAAGATGTGATCGCTCCTCTTAAGGGACTCCACATACCTCAGAATCAGTTTGAAAGTGAGTCTCACATCCATGAGGCCTGTTGAGACCATCATCCATCCATATCCAGATGAGAGAAAACAGAAAAGTAGTTACAACCAACCAAGGAAAGGGTCAAACGTCCACCGGCTTGTATGGAGCCAGTGCTATCTTCCTGCTCTCTCCTCCCACCCCAACATCAGCAGGAATTGCATAGCAAGTCAGGAGGGGTGTGTCAGGGAGAGTTGACTGTGTCCCGTAATGCTCCAGTCTAGTCTGGGCTTGGCAAGGGTGAGCAGGATGGGGAGCTGTGCCTTGAATTTGAAATTGAGAGGTGCCTATAAACAGGAACTGAACTTTATGGCCTAAAATGAGATGATTTTGATAACTGAAAGTGATTGAAGAGCTATGGGCTTAAACTGACATGTCTTTAAGGAATTTCACTCTTCTAGTGGGAAGAAGTATTAGACAGAGCCCAGCAGAAAGCAGGGACTGGAAAAGCAGAACCATATCATATTTACACTCCTATATGGGATTCCTCTTCATTAAACCAATTATATTTCTTTTCAAAAAGTTGTCCAGTTGACCATACTGTTTTACATCAATGGTATGCTCTTTGTGAAGGCTTGATAGGACATGTAATGAGGTGGTCACACAGTACAGATATGAAAGAAAGTTCTAGAAAGCCAGTTTATGGTACATTTTTGTGTTAAATACCTTTAGTGAACCACTCGATTTCTCTCAGTCTCACCTGTCCTTGGGACCTACGACCACTTGGGCTGCTCCAGTGGACATTTTCTCAAGGACTCCAGTCAACTTCAGAAGAGCACAATTCCATAACCCCTTGGCCTCTCGTCCTACTGCACTTCTTCCACCCCCTCCCCGGGGCATTCCTAATGATGGGGAGCCACAACTCTACTGTGAGATATTCTAGGGTGCCTAGCACAGCCCCAAAGTGTGGAAGTTCATGCCCTGTGAGTGAATCTGTGACCAATAAGAGATGTCCCCTTTCTTCCAGGGACAGACTGCCTTGGGATGCCATATACAGCACCCCTCTGAAGTTAAGCCTTTGAGATTAAGCAGTCAGCTGTGCTTGACACCAAGCATCCCTCCTTTTCTGCCTCACCCCTCTTTTTGCTCACTCTTACTTCCCTGGGATTGTACTCCTTAATAAGGAATAACACCTAAGTCTTTGCCTCGAGCTCTGCTTCTGAGGAAGTCATGCTGGGCTGGGACAGGTGTAAAAACCTGCCTTGCATTTTCAAAGTATTGCATTTTAGGTTCTATGCCAGATTCGCCTTTAAAATTGGCTTAACCTTGTGAGTGTTAGCACTGAAGATGCTAGCAGCTAGAGATGAGCAAGTAGGTTTCTTATCTGCATTATACCAACAAGTGATCACTTGTCTGCCAGAAGAAAGTGAAATTAGAAAGGCTCTCAGCCCCCAGCTCCAATGTGACTACCATGACTGTGATTCCAGGGGACCTTTCCCAGGTGGAGGGAGACCATCCTTTGCCTTGCAAATGGAATTATGTTGAAATGACAGTAATTGGGGGAAACAAAATTACTCTCTAAACACTGTTGCTACAGTCACTGCTGAGACTCAAACTGAACTTAACAAGCTTCCCCAACAAAGGAAAATGACTTATCCTTCAGTGGGCTAAATTGAAAGTAAAATATCCATTTTGAAAGACAGAAAACCCATTATAGCTATAGAATTTCTGCCAACTAAATTAGGCAACCTTTTTTGCTGAACCCTAAAACTTGATGGCATATCAAAACTTGACACAATATAGTTGCCATGGTTTGAATATTTGTCCCCTCAAAACTTGTGTTGAAATTGAATTGCCGTTGTGACATTATTGAGAAGTGTGACCTTCAAGATGCAATTAGGCCATGAGGATCCACCCTCATGAGTGGGATTGGTGTTGTTATAAAAGGGTGAGTCTGATCACCTTTTACTCTCTTGCCCTCTCTCTTTCTGCCCTGTGATGACATAGCAAGAAGTCGCTTGCTGGATGCCAGCACCTTGATATTGGACTTCTCATCCTCCAGAACTGTGAGCCAATACATTTCTATTCATTACAAATTACCCAGTCACAGGTATTCTGTTATAGCAGCACAAAATGGACTAAGACAGTAGTTTCCCAAAGGGCTAAACTGTCTAACTCCAGGCCAAGGTCTTTTGGGCATCACCCAATCAATTTCTTTTGTAATCACACAGTGGCCAATCGTGTATGACCAGGAATCAAAACCATCTCTACTGAGCTTTTTCTTTCTTTTTTCTTTTTTTCATTCAATGATTAGCTCCTTTGCAATTTGGCTAAAGAAAACAGAATAGCCAGAATAACAATTACATGAGTCTGATTCACCTAGAAAGCAGGAGGAAAATAGAAAGGAAGAGTCTTCAGCCTTAGTTAGGCTAATTTACATTACTACCTCCTTATGAGATACCCAGTGCTGTTGAGGGTGGGAAGGTGAAGAGGTTGTGTTTTGGGGTATAGGAGGGTGTGATTTTGCATATGGCCCCTGGATACTATTTAAGGAGTTGTTGCTACAGAGGTCTGGGGAGTCTAAGAATTCATCCAGAGCTAAGAGGGTTTTAGTGGGCTTGTGCCTGCTCTGTAAGTGAGGAATGAGGCGTTTCCACAGTGATACTGGCTTGGTATCACGGGAAGCACACCAAGGCTAGGAAAAGTTCCTGGGGAAATGATTTTCCAAAGATCTGTGGTGCTCAACTACTGTCACTGTTTGATTCTGGTAGTCACCCTGGAGGCCCTGGCTCAGAACATCTGGAGGGAGGGCATTTGCAGCCAGGGATGACAACCAGGTGCATAGGGGCAGCTGCCAGGGTCTTTTCCCTCCCAGTGTGGGCCCAGGATTCCAGAACTGTCCACTGTGATCACCCAGCTGAGGACTCACTTGAAAAGTGAGCCTTATTAGGAGGCCTTGGGCCTCCCATCCCAGTCATTCTAAAAGGTGTGCAGAGGCTTGGAACTTTCTGGGGCTGGCAGAGATTGTGTACAAGTTCTCCTGGGAGGAGGAGAAAATTACATTAGTGAGGTGGGAACATTGTAGAAATGAAATCCTCTGTTTGACAGTTCAGCCAAAGCTTTCCCCAGCCCAGGGGTTCCAGCTGACTTGTGGCACAGAATGGAACAGCACAGGTAGAGCTTCTGGCGCTGAGACCCTGTTCCCATAGACTGAGCTTGTTTGGGTCTGTTCTAGGCTCTACCTGCTATTTGGGGGGTGAGGACTATTTGGTGAGTTCAGGGTAGTTTGAATGGTTGGACAAAGCAATCAAAACAGTCAAAAAATGACTAAGGAAAAGGAATAGAGGGGACATCCCAAACCAGGGCATTTTCTCCAGAATCTTCTACTCACAAAAAATAGAGGCCAACAGAGACTATAGACATGTGCTTGATAGAAGCCAAACTGCCTCCCGAGGTTACATAAATCTCCTTATTGTTATTCCCCAAATGATTTCCATATTCTTTCCTCTCGTCTCTGAGGACCTTCTCTCCTCAGAACGTACACTGTGTATTCCCAAGGTTTGGTCTTTAGCTCTTTGATCTGATTTTTTTCCCTCTTTTGAAAGCTAATTCCCAAAAAGCTGACTCCCTAAATATTACCTTGTGGATTCCCCTAAACCAGCCTCTATTCCTGACTGTAGATTTTTTCCATATGGATGCTCATGTTACCTAGGTGTCACCTGCAAGCCCAGTGCCTTGAGGTCCTCCCTGACCCCTTTGTCTCCACCCACCACATTGGCATGACCATCAGGTTCAGACTATCCCTCTTTCCTTTCCCTTTTTTTGCTGTTCCCATGTCTATTACCCTGACCAAGATCTTCGTCATCTCACTCCTGAGTTATTGTGTCAAGGAATCTAGCCAACAGCATTCTTTTCCTCTCCAGCTCATTCTGTGCCCCCTACTGTCGAATGAATTTTCCTTGAGCATCTGTACTGTGTCCTGTCACCCACTTACATCTAAACCTCCAACATCGATTTCCTGGAGCACTGAATTTGAGCTCAATGTGTATGGGGGTGGAGGGGGTGGTGGAGGGGATGGTGGAGATGAGAGGGAAGGTGAGGAAGGAGCCAGGTAGGCTTCCCTGCTCCTTGACAACTTTGCAGGGAGCATGCTGTGGGCAGCCACCCAGCAGGACTCTGGCCCTGGTTTAGACAGAAGTTGATTCAATTCTAACTACAAGTGAACACAATACCACCCCAACTCCTCAGCCACCAACTCATGTTCGTCTCACTAAGAGAAGCTGAAAAATGAGCAGTTTTCTACACTTCCATCCACAGGATCAGATAAAAGAAGAACTGATTCGGTGACTCAGGGCTTCCTTCTGCTGCTGACACTCCTACCCTCTTGCCTATGGTACACAGTTTCCAGGACTAGGTTTGCCTGATCTATGTGGCATGGCGGGACTCTGATCAGGATGGAAAGGGGGAGTGATTCCTTTTCTTCTCAGCTTAACGCAGTGCTGTCTTTTCTGCCCTTGGAACTTAACCCGGATTGAGAGGTGCTCACTAGCTGCTATGGATACTTGGGTCTCTTGTCATCCCTTTCATGTGGAAACTCCTTAAAGAGAATGTTAAATCTAATACTCCAACTGCATAGAACTCTAAGAATGGAAGAGGGGGTATGTGTAAATAAAGACAGTCTATTCCAAAACCCAATATCAGTAAGTTTTTTTTGTGAATAATTATACTTCTTTTTATTATTATACTTTAAGTTCTAGGGTACATGTGCACAACATGCAGGTTTGTTACATATGTATACATGTGCCATGTTGGTGTGCTGCACCCATTAACTCGTCATTTACATTGGGTATATCTCCTAATGCTATCCCTCTCCCATTCCCCATCCCACGACAGGCCCCGTGTGTGATATTCCCCATCCTGTGTCCAAGTGTTCTCACTGTTCAATTCCCACCTATGAGTGAGAACATGCGGTGTTTGGTTTTTTGTCCTTCCAAGAGTTTGCTCAGAATGATGGTTTCCAACTTCATCCATGACCCTACAAAGGACATGAACTCAACCTTTTTTATGGCTGCATAGTATTCCATGGTGAATATGTGCCACATTTTCTTAATCTAGTCTATCATTGATGGACATTTGGGTTGGTTTCAAGTCTTTGCTATTGTGAATAGTGCCGCAATAAACATACGTGTGCATGTGTCTTTATAGTAGCATGATTTATAATCCTTTGGGTATATATCCAGTAATGGGATGGCTGGGTCAAATGGTATTTCTAGTTCTAGATCCTTGAGGAATCGCCACACTGTCTTCCACAATGGTTAAACTAGTTCACAGTCCCACAAACAGTGTAAAAGCATTCATATTTCTCCACATCCTCTCCAGCACCTGTTGTTTCCTGACCTTTTAATGATCACCATTCTAACTGGTGTGAGATGGTATCTCATTGTGGTTTTGATTTGCATTTCTCTGATGACCAGTGATGATGAGCATTTTTTCATGTGTTTTTTGGCTGCATAAATGTCTTCTTTTGAGGAGTGTCTGTTCATATCCTTCGTCCACTTTTTGATGGGGTTTTTTGATTTTTTCTTGTAAATTTGTTTAAGTTCTCTGTAGATTCTGGATATTAGCCCTTTGTCAGATGGGTAGATTGCAAAAATTTTCTCCCATTCTGTATATTGCCTGTTCACTCTGAGGGTAGTTTCTTTTGCTGTGCAGAAACTGTTTAGTTTAATTAGATCCCATTTCTCAATTTGGCTTTTGTTGCCACTGCTTTTGGTGTTTTAGTCATGAAGTCCTTGCCCATGCCTATGTCCTGAATGGTATTGCCTAGGTTTTCTTCTAGGGTTTTTATGGTTTTAGGTCTGACAATTAAGTCTTTAATCCATCTTGAATTAATTTTTGTTTAAGATGTAAAGAAGGGATCCCGTTTCAGCTTTCTACATATGGCTAGCCAGTTTTCCCAGCACCATTTATTAAATTGGGAATCCTTTCCCCATTTCTTCTTTTTGTCAGGTTTGTCAAAGATCAGATTGTTGTAGATGTGTGGTATTATTTCTGAGGGCTCTGTTCTGTTCCATTGGTCTATATCTCTGTTTTGGTACCAACACCATGCTGTTTTGGTTACTGTAGCCTTGTAGTATAGTTTGAAGTCAGGTAGCATGATGCCTCCAGCTTTATTCTTTTTGCTTAGGAGTGTCTTGGCAATGTGGGCTCTTTTTTGGTTCCATATGAACTTTAAAGTAGTTTTTTCCAATTCTGTGAAGAAAGTCATTGGTAGCTTGATGGGGATGGCATTGAATCTGTAAATTACCTTGGGCAGTATGGCCATTTTCACGATATTGATTCTTCCTATCCATGAGCATGGAATGTTCTTCCATTTGTTTGTGTCCTTTTTTATTTCATTGAGCAGTGGTTTGTAGTTCTCCTTGAAGAGGTCCTTCACATCCCTTGTAAGTTGGATTCCTAGGTATTTTATTCTCTTTGAAGCAATTGTGAATGGGAGTTCACTCATGATTTGGCTCTCTGTTTGTTTGTTGGTGGTGTATAGGAATGCTTGTGATTTTTGCACATTGATTTTGTATCCTGAGACTTTGCTGAAGTTGCTTATCAGCTTAAGGAGATTTTGGGCTGAGAAAATGGGATTTTCTAAATGTACAATCATATCATCTGCAAACAGGGACAATTTGACTTCCTCTTTTCCTAAATGAATACCCTTTATTTCTTTCTCCTGCCTGATTGCCCTGGCTAGAACTTCCAACACTATGTTGAATAAGAGTGGTGAGAGAGGGCATCCCTGTCTTGTGCCAGTTTTCAAAGGGAATGCTTCCAGTTTTTGCCCATTCAGTATGATATTGGCTGTGGGTTTGTCATAAATAGCTCTTATTATTTTGAGATACATCCCATCAATACCTAATTTATTGAAAGTTTTTAGCATGAAGGGCTGTTGAATTTTGTTGAAGGCCTTTTACGCATCTATTGAGATAATCATGTGGTTTTTGTCTTTGGTTCTGTTTATCTGATGGATTACGTTTACTGATTTGCGTATGTTGAACCAGCCTTGCATCCCAGGGATGAAGCCCACTTGATTGTGGTGGATAAGCTTTTTGATGTGCTACTGGATTCGGTTTGCCAGTATTTTATTAAGGATTTTTGCATCGATGTTCATCAGGGATATTGGTCTAAAATTCTCTTTTTTTTGTTGTCTCTCTACCAGGCTTTGGTATTAGGATGATGCTGGCCTCATAAAATGAATTAGGGAGGATTCCCTCTTTTTCTATTGATTGGAATAGTTTCAGAAGGAATGGTACCAGCTCCTCTTTGTACCTCTGGTAGAATTTGGCTGTGAATCCATCTGGTCCTGGACTTTTTTTGGTTGGTAGGCTCTTAATTATTGCCTCAATTTCAGATCCTGTTATTGTTCTATTCAGGGATTCAATTTCTTCCTCATTTAATCTTGGGAGGGTGTTTGTGTATGGGAATTTATCCATTTCTTCTAGATTTTCTAGTTTAATTGCATAGAGGTGTTTATAGTATTCTCTGATGGTAGTTTGTATTTCTGTGGGATCGGTGATGATATCCCCTTTATCATTTTTTATTGTGTCTATTTGATTCTTCTCTCTTTTCTTCTTTATTAGTCTTGCTAGCGGTCTATCAATTTTGCTGATCATTTCAAAAAACCAGCTCCTGGATTCATTGATTTTTTGAAGGGTTTTTTGTGTCTCTATCTCCTTCAGTTCTGCTCTGATCTTAGTTATTTCTTGCCTTCTGCTAGCTTTTGAATGTGTTTGCTCTTGCTTCTCTAGTTCTTTGAATTGTGATGTTAGGGTGTCAATTTTAGATCTTTCCTGCTTTCTCTTGTGGGCATTTAGTGCTATAAATTTCCCTCTACACACTGCTTTAAATGTGTCCCAGAGATTCTTGTATGTTGTGTCTTTGTTCTCATTGGTTTCAAAGAACATCTTTATTTCTGCCTTCATCTCATTATGTACCCAGTAGTCATTCAGGAGCATGTTGTTCAGTTTCCATGTAGTTGAGCAGTTTTGAGTGAGTTTGTTAATCCTGAGTTCTAGTTTGATTGCACTGTGGTCTGAGAGACAATTTCTTATAATTTCTGTTCTTTTACATTTGCTGAGGAGTGCTTTACTTCCAACTATGTGGTCAATTTTGGAATAAGTACGATGTGGTGCTAAGAAGAATGTATATTCTGTTGATTTGGGGTGGAGAGTTCTGTAGATGTCTATTAGGTCCACTTGGTGCACAGCTGAGTTCAATTCCTGGATATCCTTGTTAACTTTCTGTCTCATTGATCTGTCTAATGTTGACAGTGGGGTGTTAAAGTCTCCCATTATTATTGTATGGGAGCCTAAGTCTCTTTGTAGGTCTCTAAGGACTTGCTTTGTGAATCCAGATGCTCCTGTATTGGGTGCATATATATTTAGGATAGTTAGCTCTTCTTGTTGAATTGATCCCTTTACCATTATGTAATGGTCTTCTTTGTCTCTTTTGATCTTTGTTGGTTTAAAATCTGTTTTATCAGAGACTAGGTTTGCAACCGCTGCTTTTTTTTTTTTTTTTTTTTTTTTTTTTTTTTTTTTTTGCTTTCCATTTGCTTGGTAGATCTTCCTCCATCCCTTTATTTTGAGCCTATGTATGTCTCTGCACATGAGATGTGTCTCCTGAATACAGCACACTGATGGGTCTTGACTCTTTATCCGATTTGCCAGTCTGTGTCTTTTAATTGGAGCATTTAGCCCATTTACATTTAAGGTTAATATTGTTATGTGTGAATTTGATCCTGTCATTATGATATTAGCTGGTTATTTTGCTCGTTAGTAGATGCAGTTTCTTCCTAGCCTCGATGGTCTTTACAATTTGGTATGTTTTTGCAGTGGCTGGTACCAATTGTTCATTTTCATTTTTAGTGCTTCCTTCAGGAGCTCTTTTAGGGCAGGCCTGGTGGTGACAAAATCTCTCAGCATTTGCTTGTCTGTAAAGGATTTTATTTCTCCTTCACTTATGAAGCTTAGTTTGGCTAGATATGAAATTCTGGGTTGAAAATTCTTTTCTTTAAGAATGTTGAATATTGGCCCCCACTCTCTTCCACCTTGTAGAGTTTCTGCCAAGAGGTCCGCTGTTAGTCTGATGGCTTCCCTTTGTGGGTAACCCAACCTTTGTCTCTGGCTGCTCTTAATATTTTTTCCTTCATTTCAACTTTGATGAATCTGACAATTATGTGTCTTGGAGTTGCTCTTCTGGAAGAGTATCTTTGTGGCATTCTCTGTAGTTCCTGAATTTGAATGTTGGCCTGCCTTGCTAGGTTGGAGAAGTTCTCCTGGATAATATCCTTAAGAGTGTTTTCCAACTTGTTTCCATTCTCCCCGTCACTTTCAGGTACACCAATCAGACGAAGATTTGGTCTTTTCACATAGTCCCATATTTCTTGGAGGCTTTGTTTATTTCTTTTAACTCTTCTTTTCTCTAAACTTCTCTTCTCACTTCATTTCATTCATTTGATCTTCAATCACAGATACCCTTTCTTCCAGTTGATTGAATCGACTACTGAAGCTTGTGCATGCATCATGTAGTTCTCGTGCCATGGTTTTCAGCTCTATCAGGTTATTTAAGGTCTTCTCTACACTGTTTATTCTAGTTAGCCATTCGTCTAATCTTTTTTCAAGGTTTTTAGCTTCTTTGCCATGGGTTTGAACATCCTCCTTTAGCTCAGAGAAGTTTGTTATTACCGATTGTCTCAAGCCTTCTTCTCTCAACTCATCAAAGTCGTTCTCCATCCAGCTTTGTTCCATTGCTGGCAAGAAGCTGCATTCCTTTGGAGGAGAAGAGCACTCTGATTTTTAGAATTTTCAGCTTTTCTGCTCTGGTTTCTCCCCCTCTTTGTGGTTTTATCTACCTTTGGCATTTGATGATGGTGACATACAAATGGGGTTTTGGTGTGGATGTCTTTTCTGTTTGTTAGTTTTCCTTCTAACAGTCAGGACCCTCAGCTGCAGGTCTGTTGGAGTTTGCTGGAGGTCCACTCCAGACGCTATTTGCCTGGGTATCACCAGCAGAGGCAGCAGAACCACAAATATTGCAGAACAGCAAATGTTGCTGCCTGATAGTTCCTCTGGAAGCTTCTCAGAGGGGCATCTGGCTGTATGAGGTGTCAGTCGGCCCCTACTGGGAGGTGCCTCCCAGTTAGGCTACTCAGGAGCCAGGGACCCACTTGAGGAGGCAATCTGTATGTTCTCAGATCTCAAACTCCATGCTGGGGGAATGACTACTCTCTTCAAAGCTGTCAGACAGGGACGTTTAAGTCTGCAGAAGTTTCTGATGCCTTTTATTCAGCTATGCCCTGCCACCAGAGGTGGAGTCTACAGAGGCAGGCAGGCCTCCTTTAGCTGCGGTGGGCTCCACCCAGTTCAAGCTTCCTGGCCACTTTGTTTACCCACTCAAGCCTCAGCAATGGCAGGCACCCCTCCCCTAGCCTTGCTGCTGCCGCCTTGCAGTTCAATCTCAGACTGCTGTGCTAGTGGTGGGCAAGGCTCCATGGGCGTGGGACCCTCCAAGCCAGGCACGGGATATAATCTCCTGCTGTGCCGTTTGCTAAGACCGTTGGAAAAGCGCAGTATTAGGGTGGGAGTGACCCAATTTTCCAGGTGCCGTCTGTCACAGCTTCCCTTGGCTAGGAAAGGGAATTCCCTGACCCCTTGCACTTCCTGGGTGAGGCAATGCCTTGCCCTGCTTTGGCTTATGGTCTGCAGGCTGCACCCACTGTCCTGCACCCACTGTCCAACAAGCCCCAGTGAGATGAACTTGGTACCTCAGTTGGAAATGCAGAAATCACCTGTCTCTGCATCACTCACGCTGGGAGCTGTAGACTGGAGCTGTTCCTATTTGGCCATCTTGGAACCTCTACCAGTATCAGTAAGTTTTTACAAAAATCCAGCAGTTTGTTTCATCCTTGCCATAGCTCCCTTTCTTTAGGGGTGCTGATGTACAATTAGAGTCCCACCAAACTTTTGCTTTTGTGTGTGGTTTTATGTCATTGAGTCAGACACACTGGGCAGATATGTTCATGTTTCTGGATATCTGTATCGTTCACTTCATAGTGTATTTTTTTTTCTTCCCCCCACAGCACCCTTACCTGGGTTCTCAACCATGCAATATGCTGATCCCGATGTTTACAAAAAGGGAAGAAAAACCCCAAGATTCAAAATTCTAAGCTGTAAGACCTCACCAGGAAAAAAACTCAATATGGATTTATAGAAAAAATTATTTTCATTTGCCCTCTTTGAAAGCACAAAATGAAAGTTCTTGAAGGTATAACAGTTAATTCTGAAATTTGCTGTATTTAGAAATGAAAGAAGATTTGGCTGGACATAATAGTAGCAATATAGAGAAATGGTTAAGAGCTTTAAAGACAGAACTGACTCTACTGTGTGGCTTAAGAGAATTGACTTAACCTCTCTGAACAACTATAATATGAGCAAGATGACTCCTTATAGTGTTGTGAATATTAAATGACAGGTGCTGATATGGTTTGGCTGTGTCCCCAGCCAAATCTCATCTTGAATTGTAGCTCCCATAATTCCCATGTGTTGTGGGAGGGACCTGGTGGGAGGTAATTGACTCATGCAGGCAGGCCTTTCCCATGCTTTTCTCGTGGTAGTGAATAAGTCTCACAAGATCTGATGGTTTAATAAGGGGAAACCCATTTCACTTGGTTCTCATTCTCTCTTGTCTGCTGCCATGTAAAATGTGCCTTTCGCCTTCTACTATGATTGTGAGATCTCCCCAGCCATGTGGAACTGTGAGTATATTAAAGTTCTTTTTCTTTATAAATTACCCAGTCTTGGCTATGTCTTTATCAGCAGTGTGAGAACCAACTAATACAGTCAATTGGTACTGGTAGAGTGGGGTGCTGCTGTAAAGATATCCAAAAATGTGGAAGCAACTTTGGAACTGGGTAACAGGCAGAGGTAGGAACAGTTTGGAGGACTCAGAAGAAGACAGGAAAAAGGGGGAAAGTTTGGAACTTCCTAGCGACTTGTTGAATGGCTTTGGCCAAAATACTGATAGTGATGTGGAAATAAAGTCCAGGCTGAGGTGGTCTCAGATGGAGATGAGGAACTTATTAGGAATTGGAGCAAAGGTGGCTCTTGTTATGTTTTAGCAAAGAGACTGGTGGCATTTTGCCCCTCCCCTAGAGATTTGTGGAACTTTGAACTTGAGGGAGATGATTTAGGGTATCTGGCAGCAGAAATTTCTAAGCAGCACGGCATTCAAGAGGTGACTTGGGTGCTGTTAAAGGCATTCAGTTTTATAAGGGAAGCAGGGCATAAAAGTTTGGGAAATTTGCAGCCTGACAATGCTGTAGAAAAGAAAATCCCATTTCTGAGAGAAATTCAAGCCAGCTGCAGAAATTCGCATTAGTAATGAGGAGCTGAAAATTAATCCCCAAGACAATGGGGAAAATGTCTCCAGGGAATGTCAGAAGTCTTCACTGTAGCCCCTCCTATCACAGGCTCAGAGGCCTAGGAAGACAGAGTGGTTTTGTGGGCCAGGCCTAGGATCCCTCTGCTGTTGTGCAGTCTAGGAACTTGGTGCCCCTTGCCTCAGCCACTCCAACTGTGGCTAAAAGGGGCCAACACAGAGCTGAGACTGTGGCTTCAGGGGGTGTAAGCCCCAAGCCTTGGCTGCTTCCATGTGATATTGAGACTGTGAGTGCACAGAAGTCAAGAATTGAGGTTTGGGAACCTCTGTCTTGATTTCAGAGGATGTATGGAAATGCCTGGATGTCCAGGAACAAGTTTGCTGCAAGGGCAGGGCCCTCATGGACAACCTCTGCTAGGGCTGTGTGGAAGGGAAATGTGGGGTTGGAGCCCCCACACAGAGTCCCCACTGGGGTGTTGCCTAGTGGAGCTGTGAGAAAAGGTCCACTGTCCTCCAGACCCCAGAATGGTAGATCCACCAACAGCTTGCACCATGCACCTGGAAAAGCCATAGACACTCAATGCCAGCCTGTGACAGCAGCCGGGAGGGAGGGTGTACCCTGCAAAGCCACAGGGGTGGAGCAGCCCAAGACTGTGGGAGCCCACCTCTTACATCAGTGTGACCTGTATGTGAGACATGGAGTCAAAAGAGATCATTCTGGAGCTTTAAGATTTGACTGCCCCACTGGATTTCAGACTTGCATGGGACCTTCAGCCCCTTCATTTTGGCCAATTTATTCCATTTGGAATGGGTGTATTTACCCAATGCCTGTACCCCCCTTGCATCTAGGAAGTAACTAACTTGCATTTGATTTTACAGGCTCATAGGCAGAAGGGACTTGCCTTGCCTTAGATCAGACTTTGGACTGTGGACTTTTGAGTTAATGCTGAAATGAATTAAGACTTTGGGGGACTGTTGGAAAGGCATGATTGGTTGTGAAATGTGAGAACATGAGATTTGGGAGGGGCTGGGGTGAAATGATATGGTTTGGCTGTGTCCCCACCCAAATCTCATCTTGTATTGTAGCTCCCATAATTACCACATGTTGTGGGAGGGACCTGGTGGGAGATAATTGAATCATGGGGGCAGTTTCCCCCATACTGTTCTCATGGTAGTGAATACGTCTCAAGAGGTCTGATGGCTTTATAAGGGGAAACCCCATTCCCTCAGTTCTCATTCTGTCTCGTCTGCCACCATGTGAGACGTGCCTTTCACCTTCCATCATGATTGTGAGGCCTCCCTAGCCATGTGGAATTGTGAGTCCATTAAAACTCTTTTTCTTTATAAATTACCCAGTCTCAGGTATGTCTTTATCAGCAGTGTGAGAATGGACTAATACAGCTGCTTAGTGTGGAGGCTGACACAATGTAGGAGACAAAAATCATAAATTCCCCAAACTAAAGGTGTATCTGACAATTGGACAGTATGTCTTTCTTTCTCTCTGTCTGTTTGTCTTTCTTCTCTTCCTCCCTCCTCCCTTCCTTCCTTTATTTTTATTGGAAGCCTATGCTCTGAAAGTTTTCTGTTATGTGTATATAAAATATGCATAACATAAAACTTACCATTTTAAACCATTTAAGTGTGCAATTCAGTGGCATTAAGTACATCTACATTGTTCCACAACCATCTCCACCATATATCCCCAGAACTTTTACGCCATCCCAGACTGAAATTCTGTATTCCTTAACTCTGTTAATTTCCCCTCTCAGCTTCTGGTAACCACTCTTCTATTTTCTGTCTCTATGAATTCACCTATTCTAGCTAACTTATATGTGTGGAATCATGTAATATCTGTCCTTTTGTGTCCGGCTTATTTCACTTAGCACAATGTCCTAAAGTTTTATCCGTGCTGTAGTGTATGTCAGAATTGCATTTCTTTTTATGGCTGAATAATATTCCATTGTATGTGTATATGTGTATATCGCATTTGGTTTATCCATTCATGTGTTGATGTGGGCATTTAGGTTGCTTCCCCCTTTTGGCAATCATGAATAGTGCTGCTATGAACATTGGTATATGCATACCTGTTTGAGCCCCTGCTTTCTGCAAAGCACTTTTAAAATATGTGGTTCGTTAAGAAAAATTATGCAGAACTTGGAACTAGGCAAAAGACATTACTGGATGACCTTACAATGAAGTGCTAGGTGCTGTTGAATGGAACAGGTCTATCCTAATGGGAATGATCTGATTTTCTAGGGATGCTTACCTTTGTCTGAGTTGCGTTCATGACTGATAGCATTACAATGGTTCTTGCCCAATAGCAATGAAAATGATTTCTGCCCAGGAGAAAAGAAAGCTAATCCAAGGTTATAATTAATTCCTTTCAGGATATTTAATAGGTTTAAAAGAGTGAAAGAAAGAGAAAATCTGTTTAATGTTAATTAGGATGATTTTTGCATCTTTGTTTATATCTTGCTCTGCTTTCCAAAAAACTATATCATATAGATGTGCTTATCCCTTCACCTACCAGATGTTTCCCCTAAATTGCCTTTCATTAGGCCAGAGCTGGTTCTGGGTCAAACAGCCAAGAAACCCTTGTTTGGGTGTTAATGACATATCCCAAAACTTCCTCCTGTGCCAGGCTTTTACCTGAGCCTTGACTTCCTAGAGAGGCTGATTTCGAGTCAGTGTTTCCTTTTTCAGGGGCATTTACATTTTAAGCCTCTTAACTGTGGCCTAAGTAAACTCTGAAAAAGGAATTTCAGGTTTTTTAAATCAATGTGATAACTCAGAAAATATTTATTAAGTATCTGTAATGTAGTTTTTGGTTTTTCTAAATGCTATCTTCATCTAGTTTGGGGGCCTGGCTAAAGGCCGACTAGTTCCCCTTTTTGAATGGCTGATTCAGTTCACACTGCCAGCATCTCTCAGACTCTGGACCTCTGTGCACCCACTGTAATTGCCCCAGAGCCAGGTATGGGACAGTTAGGGACAGCCCCTATGTCCTGGAGTCCACAAAATTATTCAAATTAGCTAAACCACAGAAAGTCCATGAAAGCTAGCTAACCCCACCCTGATTGCTATACTAAGCTGCCTCTACAGCTCCAGCTCCAAATTACCTGTCCTTAGACAACCCTCAGTGTGGCCCGGCCTTTGTCAGAGGCATCTAAACCAGAGCGACTCCATCTTGAGTAGGGGCTGTGTACTATAAGGCTGAGACCTACTGGGCTGCATTCCCAAGAGGTGAGGCATTCTAAGTCGCAGGATGAGAGAGGAGGTTGGCACAACATACAGGTCACAAAGACCTTGCTGATAAAACATGTTGCAGTAAAGAAGCTGGCCAAAACCCACTGAAACAAAGATGGCAACAAAAGTGACCTCTAGTCGTCCTCACTGCTCATCACATGCTAATTATAATGTATTAGCATGCTAAAAGATACTCCCACCAGTGCCATGACAGTTTACAGATGCCTTGGCAATGTCAGGAAGTTACCCTATGTGGTCTAAAATGGGGAAGTATCCTAGGTTTTGAGAATTGCCCCCATCCTCCTTTCCTGGAAAACTCATGAATAATCCACCCCCTGTTTAGCATATCATCAAGAAATAACTATAAGTATCCTTAGTCCAGCAGCCCAAGCTGGTGCTCTGCCTATGGAGTAGCCATTCTTTATTCCTTTTCTTTCTTAATAAACTTGCTTTCACTTTACTCTATGGATTTGCCTCAAATTCTTTCTTGTGTGAGATCCGAGAACCCTCTCTTAGCATCTGGTTTGGGACCCCTTTCCAGTAACAGCTTTCCTAGGAGTTCTGCCTTCATCTCTCCCAGTGTCGTTGTGTTGTTTCCCTATCCAAAGAGCTTTAGATCTTGTACAACAACACCTCCTGCGAGCCAGGGACTCCGCTGTGTCATGATAGAATGTGGGCAAAGGAGAGATGGTCTCTGCCCTTAAGGAGCTGACAGTCCAGCCAGAGAAATACAAATCCTTACACGAAGAGGTAAAGAAGAAAGCACAAAGTGTCTTAAGCCTCAAGAGCTTGTCAGTGGAGTGCTGAAGAGGAAGTGAGGTTATTTGGAGTTGGGGGGTATAGAGGT